>NW_011332692.1:0-14347 GCF_000001405.40 Homo sapiens | reverse complement strand
CACTTATATTTTTAATTTTTTATATTTCTTTGTCTATGTTATCATTTTTTAGGTATGTACATTTAAAAAAGTCATCGTACTCTGAAGTGTGATGGTAGTGCCTTCAAAAGTCAACATTGATTCTTAGTTTAAAAATCGATGGTTTTTGCAAAATGATGGGAATTGGAAGCTCCAGGGTCTTGTCTTCCACAGAAACATCAAACTGACCAAGATGGCTTTTTGGGGGCTCTGGAAAGCTCTGGATTCTTGCTGCTGTCAAGGGTCTGCAGCAAACAAATGAATTCCCAGTCAAGAAAAAGCCAGAAGCCATATGCAAAGTGGTAGGGAATTTTGTGACCTTTTTTCTTACCCTTTTCTCACCACCTCCTTGGCGTAGTGCCGTGCAGTGGGGAAAAACCGAGTCAATTCCTACTTCTTCCCTCAGGTTGGAAGAAGGAGAGCGGAGCTTGTTTGCAGTGACTACGCTGCGTGTGGGCTCCCTGAAGGCCTGGTTTCTGTATTTCCTGACTTGGAGCTCAGAAGGGAAGGGCTGCATAGTTCATATCTCACATTGGTAGCCACAGAAGGCAGTGGTGGCACTGTGGTGTGTGAAAACTGTGTGAGGACTATAGACCTCATGTGACCATAGACTGAAAAGAGACTCAGGCAGAAAAATGCAACAGGACATCTAGGTCCCTGGAAGAAACAGAAGTAAGACTCTTAGAGAAACTAAAATGTTTAAAAGCAGCTGTGTATCCAGAGGAATTGCAAAAAGCAAACAAACACCAACCCCCAAACAAACACACACATGGCCAAAACACATGCACAAGACACATACCCAGAAAAAGACTGGAAAGACTTTAATCCTTCACTTCAGGTGATTAGTGAAGGTCTTCCCACATACAAGGTCAGACTCTAAAGAGAGAGAGATTGATGCCTTCTCAAATGCTCAATATTCAACAAAATATCACAAGGCATACAAAAAAAAAAAAAAAAAAAGGAAATGTGACTCATCAAAGAAAGAAAATAAACCTTCAGACTGACCTTAAAGAAACACAGTAAATCAACTTGCCAAAGACTTTAAACAGATGTCTTAAAGAAACTCAGACAGTTAAAGGAAAACATGGAAAAGAACATTAGGAAATCTGGAAAATGATACATAAACATAGTGAGAATTTTTGTTTGTTTGTTTTTTTGAGATAGAGTCTCACTCTGTTGCCCTGAGTGCAGTGATATTCATGGCTCACTGCAGCCTTGACATCCCAGGCTCTAGTGACCTCCCACCTCAGCCTCCCAAATAGCTTGAACTACAGGCACATGCCACCATGTCCAGCTAATTTTTGTATTTTTATTTTTGTAGAGACAAGGCCTGGCTATGTTGCCCAGGCTGGTCTTGAATTCCTAGACTCAAGCAATCCTCCTGCCTCAGCTTCCCAAAGTGTAGGGATTACAGGCATGAGCCACCATGCCTGGCCAGAATATATTTTTTTAAAAAAGTAATTATAAAAAGAACCAAACAGAAATTATGGAGCTGAAAAATACAATAACTGAACTGAAAAATTCGCTAGAAGGTTATAACAATAAACTTGAACAGGCAGAAGAATCAGCTAACCTAAAGATAGATCATTTGAAATTGTTGAGTCTGAGGGGCAAGAAGAAAAAGAATGAAGAAAAGTGAACACAGCGTGAAAGACCTATGGGACAAGATCAGGTGGACCAATATACACATTATAGGTGTTGCAGAAGGTAAGAGAAAGAGAAAGGGGAAGAGAGCTTATTTGAAAAAATAAAGGCTAAAAACTCCTCAAATATAAGGAAAGAAATGGATGTACAAATACAAGAAACTCAATGAACTCCAAGAATAATAAACTCATAAAGACCCCACAAAGAGACATACCATAATAAAAAAGTCTGAAACCAAAGACTATCTATTAATTTATTATTTTTTCCCAACTTTTTTGAGGTATAATGTCCATCACAAACCTGGACATTATGTGAAGTGAGAACATTATGGTAAGCTTGTTACAAATGACAGAATTCTCTTTCTTTAAGGCTAAATAATGGTCCATTATTTATGTATACATACTACAGTAAAAAATCTATTCATCTGCCCATGGACACAGGTTGTTTCCACATCTTGGCTATTGAGAATAATGCAGTGATGAATATGCAGCCGCAGATATCTCCCTAGCATACTGATTTCATTTCCTTTGGATATATGTCCAGAATTTGAGTTACTGGATTGTATGATAGTTTTATTTTTAATTTTTTGAGAAGCCTCCCTATCATTTTCTGTAATGACTGTACCAATCTATATCCCCATCAAAAGTACACAAGGTTTCCTTTTTTTCCCATATCTTCACCAACACTTGTTACCTCTTGTCTTTTTGACAATATATGTCCTAACAGATGTGCTGTGATATCTTATTGTGGTTTTGATTTATACTTCTCTAATAATTTGTGATATTGAGTACCTCTTCATATACTTCTTGATCATTTGTATATCTTTGGAAAAATGTCAGTTCAGGTGTCCTTGTCCATTTTAAACTGGGGTATTTATTATTATTATTATTATTATTATTAAGTTGTATGAATTCTTTATTTTTTGGATATTAACTTCTTATTGAATGTTTGGTTTATAAATTTTTTTTCCCATTCTGTAGGTTGCTTTTTCATTTTTTAGATTGTTTCCTTTGCTTGGCAGAAGCTTTTTAGTTTGATATAGTTCCATTTGGTTATTTTTGCTTTTGTAGATCTGTGCTTTTATTGGTATATCCAAAAAATTATTGCCAAGACCAAGGTTTCAAGTGCTATGTTCAAGACTTAGTCTTTAATCCACTTTGAGTTGATTTTTGTGTCTGATGTAAGATTAAGATTCAATTTCTTTCTTTTTTTTTTGCAGTTGGATATCCAGTTTTCCCAACAATATTTATAGAAGAGACTGTTCTTTTCTCATTCTGTATTCTTGATGCTTTTGTCAAAGATGAGTTGACTGTATATATGTGGGTTTATTTTTGAGCTTTCTATTCTGTTCCATTCATCTGTGTGTCTGTTTTTACGCCAGTATCATACTATTTTGATCACAATAGCTTTGGATATAATTTGAAATCAGGAGTCTAGTGTCTCCTGCTTTGTTCTTCTTGCTCAAGATTGCTTTAGTTACTTGGGATCTTTTGCAGTTCCATACAAATATTAGGATTAGTTCTTTCCAGATAGTAAAAAATGCTATTAGAATTTTGATTGGGCTTGCAAATGAATCTGTAGATCACTTTAGATAGATGTTTTAACAATATTAGTTCTTCTAATCCATGAACACAGGATATCTCTCCATTTATTTGTGTCTTCTTCAATTTCTTTCACCACTGTTTTTATAGTTTTCAGTATAGAGGTTGCTTTCTTTTTGGTTGCATTTATCCTAAATATTTTATTCATTTTGATCTATTGCAAATAGGATTTTTTTCTTATTTTAAATTATGGACAGTTCATTGTTATGAAAATACAACTAATTTTTGTATGTTGATTTTGTATCTTGAGAGAATCTTAAAAGCAGTGAGAGAGAAAAGCAATTTATTGCATAGAAGTGCTCCTCAGTAAAATTATTAGTGAATTTATCAGCATAAATCTTAAAATCCAGCAGGCAGCAGGATGATACATTCAAGTTCAGAAAGAAAAAATAAAGCTATCAACCAAGAATTCTGTGTCCAGCAAAACTGTTCTTTAAAATGAGGGAGATACTATGACATATGCAGATACACAAGCTAAAGAAGTTCTTTACGACTACAGCTGCCCTATAAGAAATGCCAAAGTGAGACTTTCGAGTTGAAATGAAAGGATGCCAGATGGTAACTCAAAGTCATACCAAAATATAAAGGTAAACAGTAAAAGTATATATATTCTAGTATTACCAGTATTGTAATTTTTGTTCTTCACTGTTTATTCTACAGGAATTGAAAGACAAAAGTATAAAAATAAATACAAATAACTGTTAGTTGGCTCACAATATATGTAATTTGTGACAAAGATGTAGTAACAGAGATATAATTTGTGGCATTAATAAAAAGGGTAGGAGTAGAGCTTTAAAGGAGTAGAGTTTTGTATTTGATTGAAGTTAAGTTGGTATCGGTTTAAAATAAATTGTTGTAATTTTACAATATTATATATAATCTCCATGGTAACTGTACACACAAAACTATAGAATATACACAAAAGGAAATGAGAAGGGAATGAAAGCATGTCACTATAAAAAATGAACTAAACACAAAGGAAGGAAGTAAGGACGGAAATGAGAGATGAAAAAGCTACAAGATATACAGAAAACAAACAACAAAATGATAATAGTAAGTCCTTAACAGTAAATACTTTAAATGTAAACAGATTAAACTTCCCAATCAAAAGACATAAATTGGCAGAAAGGATTAAAAAAAAAAAAAAAAACCAAACCCTGGGAGCTAAGTATATGCCGTCTGCAAGAGAAACACTTTGGATCCAAGGACATGCATGGATTGTAAGTAAAAGGACAGAAAAAGATATTCTGTGCTTTTAAAAGTATAGTACACAAATATGAACCAAATGAGTGCAGGAGTAGCTATGCTACTCTCGTACAAAATAGACTTTAAGTAAGAACTTGTCAAAAGAGAAAAACGCAGTCATTATATAACAAACAATAAAAGGGTCAAGTCATAAAGAAGATATAACAGTTATAACCATATATGCGGCAGACACCAGAGCACCTAAATATATGAAGCAAACATTGACAGAATGAAAGGGAGAAACAGTGCTACAATAATAGTAGGATACTTACATATCTCCTTTTTAATAATGGATGGAACAACCGGATAGAAAAAATTAGGAAATAGAGAAAATCAGAAAAATAAGGAAATAGAACACCGCTATTGACTAACTAAAATAATAGAACAGCCCCAACCAACAAGAGCAGAATACACATTTTTCTCAAGTATACATGAAACATTCTCTAAGATAGATCATATCTTAGGATACAAAGCACATTTTTAGAAATTAGAAAATATTAAAATTATGCAATTCTGATTCTGATCACACTGGAATGAAACCAGAAATCAATAGCATGAGGAAAGCTGGAAAATCCACAGATATGTAGAAATTCAGCAATATACTCATAGAAACCAGTGAGTCAAAGAAGAAACCCCAAGGGAAATTAGAAAATGTCTTGGGACAAATGAAAATAAAACATAACATACTAAAACTTTTTTTCTTTTTAACTTTAATTCTAGGTTCAGGGGCACATATGCAAGTTTGTTTTATATATATATTTTTATATTATGTATATTTATATAATAATAAATATTTATAAAATAAAAATATTTTATATTATATATATATTATATATATATGTAAATTCATGTCACAGGGCTTTTTTGTACTGATGATTTCAACTGCAGGTATTAAGCCCAGTACCCAAAAGTTATTTTTTCTGCTCCTCTTCCTCCTTCCATCTTCCACCCTCAAGGAGACCCCAGCATCTGTTGTTCCCTTCTTCGTGTTTGTGAGTTCTCATCATGTGGGTCCCACTTAGAAATGAGAACATGCCGCATTTGGTTTTCTGTTCCTGTGTTAGTTTGCCAAGGATAATAGCCTCCAGCTTCATCCATGTTCCTGAAAAAGACATGGTATCACTCTTCTTATGGCTGCGTAGTCTTCTATGGTATATATGTACCACATTTTCTTTATCCAGTCTGTCATTGATGGGCATTTAGGTTGATTCCATGTCTTTGCTATTGTGAACAGTGCTGCAATGAACATTCGTGTGCATGTGTCTTTATGGTGGAATGATTTATATTCCTCTGGGCATATACCCAGTAATGGGATTCCTGAGTTGAATGGTAATTCTGTTTTTAGCTCTTTCTTTGAAGAATCGCCATACTGCTTTCCACAATGGTTGAACTAACTTACACTTTCATCAACAGTGTATAAGTGGTCCCTTTTCTCCACAACCTCACCAGTATCTGTTATTTTTTTGAATTTTTAATAATGCTATTCTGATTGTTGTGAGACAGTATCTCGTTGTGGTTTTTATTTGCATTTCTCTAATGATCAGTGATATTGAGCTTTTCTTCATATGCTTGTTGGTTGCACGTATGTCTTCTTTTGAGAAGTGTTCATGTCCTTTGCCCCCTTTTTAATGGGGTTGTTTGTTTTTTGCTTATAAACTTGTTTAAGTTTCTTATAGATGCTGGATATTAGACCTTTGTCAGATGCATAATATGCAAATATTTTCTGCCATCCTGTAGGTTGTCTGTTTACTCTGCTGATAGTTTCTTTTGCTGTGCAGAAGCTCTTAAGTTTAATTAGATCTTATTTGTCAATTTTTGTTTTTGTTGTGAGGTGCTTTGTCATGAAATCTTTGCCCATTCCTATGTACAGGATAATATTGCCTAGGTTGTCTCCCAGGGTTTTTTATAGTTTTGGGTTTTATATGTAAGTCTTTAATCCATCTTGAGTTGATTTTGGTATATGGTGCAAGGAAGGGGTCTACCTTCAATCTTCTGCATATGGCTAGCCACTTATCCAAGTACCATTTATTGAATAGGGAGTCTTTTCCCCATTGCTTGTTTTTGTCAGCTTTGTTGAAGATCAGATGGTTGTAAGTGTGCAGTCTTATTTCTAGGCTCTCTATCTGTTCCATTGGTCTATGTGCCTGTTTTTGTACCAGCACCATGATGTTTTGGAACACAACTCAAAATAATAAGAGCCATATGTGACAAACTAACAGGCAACATCATACTAAATGGGCAAAAGCTGGAAGAATTCCTTTTGAAAACCAACACGTGACAAGAATGCCTTCTTTCACCAATCCTATTCAAGTATTATTGGAAGTCTTAGCCAGAGCAATCAGGCAAAATAAAGAAATAAAGCATATCCAAATAGGAAGAGAGGATATCAGACTATCCCTATTTGCAGATGACATGATTCTATATCTAGAAAAACCCATAGTCTCGACCCAAAAGCTCCTTCAGCTGATAAACAACTTCAGCAAAGTTTCAGGATACAAAATCAATGTAGAAAAATCACCAGCATTCCTGTACACAAACAACAAGAAGAAACCAAGCCGAGAAACAAATCAGGAAGGCAATCTCATTCACAATTGCTGCAAAAATGAAAAAATATCTAGGAATACAGCTAACCAGGGAGGTGAAAGATCTCTGCAGTGAGAATTACAAAGCACTGCTGAAAGAAATCAGGTAAGACAAAAACAAATTTTTAAAAATCTCATGCTCACAGATAGGAAGAATCAATCTTATTAAAATGACCATACTGCCCAAAGCAGTGTACAGATTCAATGCTATTTTTATTAAGCTACCAATGACATTCTTCACAGAACTAGAAAAAACTATTTTAAAATTCATATGGAACCAAAAAAGAGCCCGAATGGCCAAGGCAACCCTAAGCAAAAAGAACACAGCTGGAGGCATCACATTACCTGACTTCAAACTATATTGCAGGGCTACAGTAAACATACCAAAACTTACCAGATGCATCAAAATCTGTGCTAGGAGGGTAGTTTATAGTGTAAATGCTTATGATAAACAAGAAGAAAGATCTTAAATTAACAATCTAACATTATACCTTAAAGAAGTAGAAAAAGGGAGAACACACTAAACCCAAATCCAGTAGAAGGAAAGAAATAATAAAGACTAGAGTACAGACAACTGAAATAAAGAATAGGAACATGGTAGAGTAAGTTAGCAAAACCAAGTTCAGTTCTTTGAAAAAATCACCAAAATTAATGAACAATTAGTTCGACTGAGTAAGATAAAAGAGGGAAGTCTCAATAACTAAAATCAGAAATGTAAGTGCAGACATTACCACTGATTTAACAGAAATAAAATGATTATATTAATAAGACAATAGTATGAATATTTGTATGCCAAAAAATTGGACAACCTAGACAAAATGGATAAATTCCTAGACATATACCACCTACCAAGACTAACCCACAAAGAAATAGAAAATACGAACAGACATATAACTAGCAAAGAGATTGAATCAATGATCCAAAATCTGCCAACAAAGAAAATCCCAGGAGCTGATGGCTTCATTCGTGAATTCTACCAAACATTTAAAGAAGAGTTAACACTAATCCTTCTCAAAAGTTTCCAAAAAAGTTTAAGGTAAGGGGACAC
This sequence comes from Homo sapiens, assembly GCF_000001405.40. Taxonomy (NCBI): domain Eukaryota; kingdom Metazoa; phylum Chordata; class Mammalia; order Primates; family Hominidae; genus Homo; species Homo sapiens. Next base: position 6,209 of record NW_011332692.1, on the reverse strand, counting down.
TTTCAAACTTATTCTTCAAGGCCAAGATTACTCTTTCACCAAAGCAAGACAAAGGTACTACAATAAAATTAAGCTACAGATCAATATCTCTGATAAATACTGATGTAAAAATCCTCAACCAAATATTAGTGAACAGAATTAAGTGACACATCAAAAAAATTATACACATGACCTCGTGGGATTTATTTCTGAAATTCAAGGATAGTTCAACATATGAAAATGAATTAATGTAATAACTACATTAACAGAATGAAGAAACAGTTCCCATGTGATCATCTCAATTGATGGAGAAAAATATTTGACAAAATCCAACACCTTTCCATGATAAAAAACATCCACCAAACTAGGAACAGAAGGAAACTACCTCAACATAATTAAGGCCATATATGGAAAGCCCATTGCTAACATCATACTTAATGATGAAAGATTGAAAACTTTTCTTCTAAGCTAAGACACAAGGGAAGAATGCCTACTTTTAAATTCAGCATAGTAATGGAAATCTTGACCAGATAAATTAGGAAATAAAAAGCATTAAAATTGGGAAATAAAAAGTAAAACGATCCCTTTCATAGATGATGTAATTTCATATGTAGAAAACCCCAAAGATTCCATAAGAAACATGATAGAACTAATAACAAAATTAGCAAACTTACAGAATACTCAGCATACAGAAATTAGCTGTGTTTCTATACAATAACAATGAACAACCTGAAAAAGAAATTAAGAAAGCAATTTCATTTAAAGTGGGACCAAACAAAATAAAAAATAGAAACAAACTGAACCAAGGAGGTGAAAGATGTGTACACTGAAAACTATGAAATATTGCTCAAAGAAATTAAAGACACTACAAAAATAGACATCCTTTGTTCATAGATGAGAAGACCTAAAATTGAAAGATGTGGTCTCTAGATTAAATGCAATTTATCTTAAAATTCCAACATCAATTTTTTTTTTACAAAACTAGAAAAATCTATCCTAACATTCATATAGAATCTCAAGGGACCCTAAATAGCAAAAACAATCTTGAAAAAGAACACAGTTGGAGGTCTCACACTTCTTAGTTTCAAAATTTCTAAAAATCTACAGTATTAAAAACAGAGTGGTATTGACGTATAGACAGACACATAGATCAGTGAGATAGAATAGAGAGCCCAGAAATAAACTCTTGTATATATGGCCTTGTGATTTTTTAAAAAGTTGCTAGGACTATCCAATAGGGAAAAGGACAGTCTTTTCAACAAATGTTACTGGGAAAACTGGATAGCCACATGCAAAAGAATGAAGTTGTACCCTTACCTTACACCATATGCAGAAATTAAAAATAGTCAAAGACTTAGATATGAGAGTTAGAATACTCACAAGAAAATGTAGGGGCACAGCTTCATGGCATTGCATTTGGCAAGGATTTCTTGGCTACGACACCGAAAGCATAGGCAACAAAAAAATCAGATAATTGGAACATGTAAATATTAAAAATTTTTGTGAATCAAATGACACTGTCAACAGAGTAAAAGGCAACACACTGAATGGCAGGAAATATTTGTAAATTATATATCTGATAACGGATTACTATCCATATATAAAGAACTCTTGCAATTCAACAACCAAAAAACAACACAATTAAAAAATAGACAAAGGACTTGAATATATATTTCTCCAATGATATACAAATGACCAATAAGTACATGAAAAGATGCTCAACAACATGAATAATTAGGAAAATGCAAATCAAAACCACAGTGAGATACTACACAACTATAGAAACAATATGGTGGTTTCTCAGATTTCACATGATCCAGCAATTACACCTCTGGGTATATACCTCAAAGAATTAAAAGCAGAGCCTCAAAGAGATGTTTCTACACCCATGTCCACAACAGCATTATTCACAATAGTCAAAAGATGGAAGCAACCCAAGTGTCTGTTGACAGATGAATGGATAAACAAAATGTGGCATATCCACAAAATGGAATATTATTTAACCTTAAAAAGGAAAAATAATTAATCCCAGTACTTTGGGAGGCCAAGGCAGGCAGATCACAAGGTCAGGAGTTCGAGACCAGCCTGGCCAACACAGTGAAACCCTGTCTCTGCTAAAAATACAAAAATCAGCTGGGTGTTCTGGTGGGTGCCTGTAATCCCAGCTACTCGGGAGGGTTAAGCAAGAGAATCACTTGAACCTGGGAGACGGAGGTTGCAGTGAGCCGAGATTGTGCCATTGCACTCTAGTATGGGTGACAGAGCTAGACTCCATCCCGGAAAAAAAAAAAAGGAAAAAAATTATTATAACACATGTTACAACATAGGTGTCTCTGAAGATCATTATGCTAAGTGAAATAAGCCAGTCACAAAAGGGTAAATACTGTATGATTCCACCTCCATGAAGTAATTTGAGGAATGAAATTCAGAGACAGGAAGTAGAATGGTGGTTGCCAGCAGCTGGGGGTTGGGGAGAGGAATGGGAAGTTTAGTGTAATGGGCACAAAGTTTCAGTTTTGGAAGATAAAGAAGTTCTGTGGATGGATGGTGGTGATGGTTGCATAACAATGTGAATGTATTTAAAGTCACTGAACCATACACATAAAATGGTAAACCACAAAACAGAAAAAAAAGGCTGTGGTTTTATCACAGAAGTCAATGGCAAAATCTAACTTACTTAGAAATTTGCCATATAACCAAAAATTGAGTAAAAATGAGATGACTTTGGTTTTTCAAAAAACATAAATATAATTTATAATAATGTCTCACCTTCCATAGAAATTTAGTAAGGTAACTCTTCAGAACACAGATGTCTTAGTCTGCTTTGGCCGACATGTCAAAAAACCACAGACTAAGTGGCTTAAACAACCAAATTTTATTATCTCTCAGTTCTGGACATAAGAAGTCCCCAATCAAGGTCTGGCAGAGGCGGTTTCTGGTGAGGGCTCTCCTTTTGGTTGGTAGATGGCTGCTGCCTCACCATGTTCTCACACGGTGGAGACAGAGAGGTCTGGTCTCACTCTTCTTATAAGGACACTAATCCTATCAGACTTGGGCCTCACTCTTATGAACTCATTTAACCTAATTTTCTCCTAAAGGCTCTATCTCCAAATACAGGTTTATTGAGGGTTAGGGCTTCAACTCATGAATTTCAGGGGGACAAAATTCAGTCCATGTCAACAGAGCATGTCATAGACAAAAAGCCTCTAACAAGTCAGAAGAGATGTCTCAAAGGCCACCATCACATGCCATGTACTCTCGGCCCCTCAGGGGTTGTTTAGTTTTACTCTGGGGTTCTCAACTCCTTATACACAGCAGTTTAGATTCAGGGGAATATCTCTATTGATTTAGGGAAAATCTGGTGATAATAATGGTGGTGATGGTGGTGATGGTGATGGTGATGATGGTGATGCTGGTGATGGTGATGGTGGTGGTGGTTATAATGGTGGTGGTGATGGCAATGATGGTGGTGGTGATGGTGATGATGGTGGTGATGATGGTGATGGTGATGGCGATGATGGTGGTGATGATGGTGGTGGTGATGGCGATGATGGTGGTGATGATGGTGTTGGTGATGGCGATGATGGTGGTGGTGATGGCGATGATGGTGGTGATGATGGTGATGGTGATGATAGTGATGGTGTTGCTGATGGTGACGGTGGTAGTTATGGTGGTGATAATGGTGGTGGTGATGGTGATGGTGGTGTTAGTGATGTTGATGACAGTGATGGTGATGTTGATGGTGGTGGTGGTGATGGTGGTTGTGGTGATGGTGATGATGGTGATGGCAGTGATGACAGTGGTGGGGGTTGTGGTTGTGGTGTTGGTGATAGTGGTGATGTTGGTGATGGTGGTGATGGTGATGATAGTAGTGCTGGTGGTGATGATGATGATAGTGATGGTGGTGCTGATGGTGATAGTGGTGGTGATGGTGGTAGTTATGGTGGTGATAATGGTGGTGGTGATGGTGATGATGGTGATGGTGATGATGTTGATGGTGATGACGTTAATGGTGATGGTGGTAGTGGTGGTTGTGGTGGTGGTGATGGTGTTTATGATGATGGTGGAGAGTTAGGCTGGAGTGTGCTCACTGTAAGACATGGTGAGCCATAGGAAGGAGTCTGGATTTCATGCTAAATGCAATAGGAAACCATTAGAGGACTTTAAAGCTAGGGAATCACTTGTTCTGATTCATTTTTTGACAATATTATTATGGTTATGGATATGGAGAATGCATTGTAGGAGGGCAGAAAAATATATCATGGATTCTAGAAAAGATGGATCTTTGTTTTGTTATTTGTGGAGAAACCACCACCAGGGAAATTTGGCTGTGAAATCTGATGAAGCACAATGAGATTGAATTTACAGAACTGCAGACTCCATCAAGGTCACCTCTAACTCACACGGAGCCTTTCTAAAGAGGGAAGTCACCTCCTGCAGGCCAGTGCTGCCCGCTGGGCATGGCAGGCAGGGCGCAGTCTGCATCTCACTCTACTTGTCCCCTTTGGCAGGCATCCTTGTGTTATAAACAAACCACTTTACACTGTCTGTGTACTTACCTAGGGCCTGCTGATTCCCTGATGGGAAACTAAGCATATTTTGCTAAAGAAAAATGATGGGGCAGGGAGCACTGGTGCCACCCCTGTGTGGGGCTGCCCTCCTCTCTCAGGGATACCCCATGCTGCAATATCCATGCTGAGGGCAGCATTCTGGAGGGGAAAGAGCAGGTAGGACATATGCCTTTGGGGGTTGAATCCCAGGCCCCTCCCCCAGCAGCTGTGCGATGTTGCGAGTTACATAGATAGCTTCAGATTTGGTCTTCCCATCTGTAGCTTAGAGATGGTAGCATCATTCAGGGCTTTTGCAAGGACTGAAGAATTCAATATATAAAAAGCAGTTAGCAGAGGGGCCGGGCGCAGTGGTTCACGTCTGTAAATTCAGCACTTTGGGAGGTTGAGGTGGGTGGATGACTTGAGGTCAGGAGTTCGGGACCAGCCTGGCCAACGTGGTGAAACCCTGTCTCTACTAAAAATACAAAAATTAGCTGGGTGTGGTGGCGGGTGTCTGTAATCCCAGATACTTGGGTGTCTGAGGCATGAGAATTGCTTGAACCTGGGAAGCGGAGGTTGCAGTGAGCCGAGATCGTGCCACTGCACTCCAGCCTGGGCAACAAGAGCAAAACTGTCTCCAAAAAAAAAAAAGAAAAAAGAAAAAAAACGGTTAGCAGAGGGCACTCAAAAATGAAGAGAAGCTGTTCAGGCTAACCTTTGTAAGCTAAACTCTGTTCAGCCTCTTCCACTTTCCTTTGGTGTTTTCTCTGCACCCTGGGCATGGTAGGCCACCGAGTCGTTCTGGGAGCGCGAATTTCACGGCATGGGTGTGGCTGGAGGGGTGCTCAGGTGTGCAGGGTTTGGAACGGAAGGTGCCGCAAAGGTACCACCTGGCGCACACCACGAAGCCATGATGATATCGTTCCTGCTGAGTCCAGAGCAGCCTCAGAACCCTTCACGAGCTGCAGACCCTGCCTCCAGCCCATGTCCCATGAAATTAGCATGTCCAATAAAGACAGCTCACCTCTCCTCTTGGAGCGGGTGAGAGAACAGGATCACAGAAGGCAGGTTCCGTGCAACAGGGAGTGAGGATGGGCACAACCTGTGAGCCATTTGTGAACACAGCAAGGAGACAGCTGTCCCACAGGCAGGCGAGGAGGCTGGCTGGAGGCTGAGCCCTAGCCAGAGCAGGCCTGGGAGGCACCAGGTGGATGGGGTAAAAGGGCGGGCAGGGTGAGAAGAGCTGGACTGGGCTCAGTAGGATGGGTCAAGGCTGCTGCCTGCAGGAAGGGAGATGACCAGGCTCGAGTTACAGGTGTTAATGGACAGAGGGTGTTACGCAGGAGGGTTGGCTGCAGCAGGCCAACACTGCACCCCAAACCCCGAGGATGGAAAGTTACTGGGAACTGTCACTCTGGCTTCAATCCACAGCCAGCAGCATTTCTACCCTGTGCATGTGATCACCAGCAGCACCGAGTGACCAAGGTGGAAAGGCAGCTTCTCACCTCTCCTATGCCTGCATCCTGGGCACCACCCGGTTTTCAGAACAGGGCCCCCAAGGTGGAAGCTGAGCTGGGAGCGTAGCTCGTTGTTGCCAAACTGGCCATGGATGTCACTTCTCACATCCCTGTTCCCTGGGCTCTCTCTGGAAAGTTCTTCTCAGTCCACATTTCTTGAGTG
>NW_011332693.1:0-85284 GCF_000001405.40 Homo sapiens | reverse complement strand
GTCGGCTGTGCAATTGGCCATTTCACTACATATTTGCCAGCACTGAGTATTATTTTAAAAATGCTTGCCAGTTTGAAGTTGAAAATAGTTAATTTGATTTCTAATGGATTTGAATGGTTTTTCATATATTGTAGTCTTTTGTATATCTGTTTTTCATACATTTTATTTATTTCCTTATTCATCTTCCTCTTGGACTTTTTAAAGCTATTCATGCATGTGTGTGTGAGAATCACTCACTTTTCTATTGGCGGTGCTGGAATACCACAACTTTTGGTTACTTGCAAGACACGGACACTTTTTACAGAAACTTGCAGAGGTTCCTTTTCTCTTTTTTAAAATATGGTTTGTGTTTGCAGCTCTTTGGACATCATTCCTTATCCAGGTCTCTGTGACCTCTAAGTGAGTTTGCAAAAACAAAAACCTTCAGACCACTTATTTGACTTGATGAGTATGGTTTGCATGTTTTATCTGGGGCTTGGGATATTGTATAGACACAGACACTGGCCCCCATGGGGAAAGTTAAAGAGCTTTAAAAACAGATTCCTTTTCTGTGCTTGTTTCATTTTCCTCATAAGAATACCTGGCATCTTTTTACATGGCAGACAAGATGGAGCAGTTCCCTACCAGTCAGGCACTGTGTGTGCCAAAGCAGGGATGAGGAGGACACTGCATGTTTGCACACTGCTCTCAGCAAAGGGCTTCCAGATGCCTTCAAAATGGTCTCAGCTTAGGCCATAGGCATGCAAATGTTTGAAGTGTGGTTTCCTAAGCAGGAGCACCTGTGCAAACTTATTATTGACCATAATACAGAGTCAAAGGGTCTCTCTTTGGCTCGTTCATTCATTCATGCAGCAGATATTCAGAAGCTGGGAATCCAAAACAGGGCCAGGCAGACAAGGTCCCTGCCCTTGTGGACTCTGCGTTTCATGGGGAGAGACAGGAAGAATGATGTGTTGGAGAATAATACTGGGATGTGCTTCAGAGGAAGTGTTTGGAAAGAGAACATTGGCCCTCTTAGGCAACTGCCAAGAGGAACAGAGACCCATTAGGTGTGTCTGTTGGATGACATGCCTAATTGTGAGGCCTCCATCAGGTTCTGGGAAAGAAACTGCAAATTACCCACCAAGCCCATCTTTTCTTTCTTCATACTGGAACCCCCAAGTTTACCTGGGTATAAGCCTGTCATGAAAACAAAAACAAGCAAACAAACAAACAACAAACAAAAAACTGACAATTGGATTACATTTAGGCCAATGGGATATGAACCGAAGGGGTGTGTGCAACATGTGTTGTCTTTAATAGAAGACATGCTTTATGTCCTCCTTCTTCCTTCTGCTCAAAAGATGTAATGGCTGCAGCTCCAGCACCCATCTTGGACTAGGAGGAAAAAGTTGTATGCTGGACAAACCAGCAATCCTGAGAGAAATTACAGACTCTCTGAAGGAAGCAGACTGCTCCTGCAGGACCCAGGAGACACCCCAAATACTGTGAGTGCCCCAACCCTCCTCTCCCAAACACACTCCCCCACTGGAGAAACTGAAGGTCTGTTTGCAGGAAAAGTTTCCAACCTTACCTGAAGCTGAGCCAATTTAGAGAGCTGAGCGAAATACAGGGGTAGAGGAAGCAGCAGAAAGGCCCTGGGAGCTCACTGGGTCCCCTAGCAGGTCATTTCTGCTGGCACCACAGGGATCCATCGGGAGGGTGACCAGAGGAGCAGGGGGCAAAACTCCACAGAAAGAAGGAATTCTCAAGCTGAACTTTGTAAGGCCTCGTGGCCAGAACTTGGAGGAGGGTGCAAATCCAGAGTGCAGACTTCACAGGCGGGGGAAGAACCAAGCCCTTTTCTTTCACTGCTGGGAGTTGGGTAGCCTGGGGCAAGTTTTCAAGCCCCTGTCGCCCACCACCTGGAAACAGACTTGGGGCTATTGGTGGAGGCGCGGTGGGAGAGACTAGCCCTTCGGTTTGCATGGGAGCTGGGTGAGGCCTGTGACTGCCAGCTTTCCCCGACTTCCCTGACAACCTGCATGACTTAGCAGAGGCAGCCATAATCCTCCCAGGTACACAACTCCAGTGGCCTGGGAATCTCACCCCCATCCCCTACAGCAGCCACAGCAAGACCTGCCCAAGGAGAGTCTGAGCTCCGACATGCCTACCCCGCCCCCACCTGATGGTCCTTCCCTACTCACCCTGGTAGCAGAAGACAAAGGGCATATAATCTTGGGAGTTCTAGGGCCCCACCCCCTGCTGGTCCCTCTCTATACTACTACAGCTGATGCTTTCTGGAAAGCGCCACCTCCTGGCAGGAGGTCAACCAGCACAAAAATAGAACATTAAACCACCAAAGCTAAGGACCCTCACAGAGTCCATTGCACACCCCCACTACTTCCACCAGAACAGGCTCTGGTATCCATGGCTGAGAGACCCATGGATGGTTCACATCACAGGACTCTGTGCAGACAACTCACAGTACCAGCCCGGAGCTGGGCCCACTTACTGGGTGACTAGACCCAGAAGAGCAACAACAATCACTGCAGTTCAGCTCACAGTAAGCCACATCCACAGGAAAAGGGGGAGAGTACTACATCAAGGGAACACCCGTGGGACAAAAGAATCTGGACAACAGCCTTCAGCCCTAGACCTTCCCTCTGACAGAACCTATCCAAAAAGAGAAGGAACCAGAAAACCAACCCTGGTAATATGACAAAACAAGGTTCTTCAACACCCTCCAAAAATCACCCTAGCTCACCAGCAATGGATCCAAACCAAGAAGAGAAGAAATCCCTGATTTACCTGAAAAAGAATTCAGGAGGTTAGTTATTAAGCGAATTAGGGAGGGACCGGAGAAAAGAGAAGCCCAATGCAAGGAAATCCAAAAAATGATACAAGAAGTGAAGTGAGAAATATTCAAGGAAACAGATAGCTTAAAGAAAAAACAATAAAAAATTCAGGAAACTTTGGACACACTTTTGGAAATGTAAAATGCTCTGGAAAGTTTCAGCAATAGAATTCAATGAGTAGAAGAAAAAAATTCAGAGCTTGAAGACAAGGTCTTTGAATTAACCCAGTCCAACAAAGACAAAGAAAAAAGAATAAGAAAATATGAACAAAGTCTCCAAGGAGTCTGGGTTTATGTTAAACAACCAAACTTAAGAATAGTCGGTGTTCTTGAGGAAGAAGAGAATTCTAAAAGTTTGGAAAACATATTTGGGAGAATAATCAAGGAAAACTTCCCTGGCCTTGCTAGAGACCTAGACATCCAAATACAAGAAGCACAAAGAACACCTGGAAAATTCATTGCAAAAAGATCTTCACCTAGGCACATTGTCATCATGTTATCCAAAGTTAAGATGAAGGAGAGAATCTTAAGAGCTGTGAGAAGAAGTACCAGGTAACCTATAAAGGAAAACCTATCAGATGAACAGCAGATTTCTCAGCAGAAACCCAACAAGCTAGGAGGGATTGGGGCGTTATCTTCTACCTCCTCAAATGAAACAACCCTCAGCCAAGAATTTTGTATCCGGCGAAACTCAGCATCATATATAAAGGAAAGATACAGTCGTTTTCAGACAAACAAATGCTGAGAGAATTTGCCATTACCAAGCTGCCACTACAAGAACTGCTAAAAGGAGCTCTAAATCTTGAAACAAATTCTGGAAACGCATCAAAACAGAACCTCTTTAAAGCATAAATCACAATAAAACAAAAATACGTGTTAAAAAGCAAAAAACAAAAAAAAATCGAAGTACACAGGCAACGAAAAACACAATGAATGCAACAGTACCTCACATTTTAGTACTAACATTGAATGTAAATGGCCTAAATGCTCCGTTTAAAATATACAGAACTGCAGAATGGATAAGAACTCACCAGCCAACTATCTGTTGCTTCCAGGAGACTCACCTAATGCATAAGGACTCACATAAACTTAAAGTAAAGGGGTGGAAAAAGGCATTTCATGCAAATGAACACCAAAAGTGAGCAGGGGTAGCTATTCTTATACCAGACAAAACAAATTTCAAAGCAACAGCAATTAAAAGAGACAAAGAGGGATGTTACATAATGGTAAAATGTATTGTCCAACAGGAAAATATCACAATCCTAAACATATACGCACCTAACACTGGAGCTCCCAAATTTATAAACAATTATTAATAGACCTAAGAAATGAGATAGACAGCAACACAATAATAGCGGGGGACTTCAATACTCCACTGACAGCATTAGGCAGGTCATCAAGACAGAAAGCAAAGAAACAATGGATTTAAACTATACCTTGGAAGAAGTGTACCTAACAGATATATTCAGAACATTTCATCCAACAACCACAGTATACACATACTATTCAACAGCACATGGAACTTTCTCCAAGTTGGACCATATGATAGGTCATAAAATGAGCCTTAATAAATTTAAGAAAATTGAAATTATATCAAGCACTCTCTCAGACCACAGCAGAATAAAACTGGAAATCAATTCCAAAAGGAACCTTCAGAACCATGCAAATATACAGAAATTAAATAACTTGTTTCTGAGTGAGCATTGGGTCAAAAACGAAATCAACATGGAAATTAAAAAATTCTTTGAACTGAATGACAATAATGACACAACCTATCAAAACCTCTGGGATATAGCAAGGGCAGTGCTAAGAGGAAAGTTCATAGCCCTAAACGCCTACATCAAAAGACTGAGAGAGCACAAACTGACATTCTAAGGAACTAGAGAAAGAAGAACAAACCAAACCCAAACTCAGCAGAAGAAAGGAAATAACCAAGATCTGAGCAGAACTAAATGAAATTGAAACAAAAAAATTACAAAAGATAAATGAAACAAAAAACTGGTTCTTTGTAAAGATAAATAAAATTGATAGACCATTAGCAAGATTAACCAAGAAGAGAGAAAATCCAAATAACTTCACTAAGAAATGAAACAGGAGATATTACAACCGACACCATTTAAATACAAAAGATCACTCAAGGCTACTAAGAATACCTTTAGACACATAAACTAGAAAACCTAGAAGAGATGGATAAATTCCTGGAAAAATACAACCCTCCTAGTTTAAATCAGGAAGAATTAGATACCCTGAACAGACCAATAACAAGCAGTGAGACTGAAATGGTAAGTAAAAAATTACCAACAAAGAAAAGCCCAGGACCAGACAGATTCACAGCAGAATTCTACAAGACATTCAAAGAAGAATTGGTATCAGTCCTTTTGACACTATTCTACAAGATAGGGAAAGAAGGAACCCTCCCTAATTCATTTTATGAAGCCAGCATCACCCTAACACCAAAACCAGGAGAGGACAACCAAAGAAGAAAACTACAGACTGATATCCTTGATGAACATTGATGCTAAAGTCCTTAACAAAATGCTAGCTAACTGAATCCAACAACATATCAAAAAGATAATCCAACATGATCAAGTGGGTTTCATACCAGGGATACAGGGATGGTTTAACATACACACACAAGTCAATAAATGTGATACACCACATAAACAGAATTAAAAACAAAAATCACATGGTCATCTCAATAGCTGCACAAAAAGCATTCCACAAAATCCAGCATCCCTTTGTGATTAAAACTATCAGCAAAATCGGCATGCAAGGGACATATTTTAATATAATAAATGCCATCTATGACAAACTCACAGCCAACATAATACTGAATGGGGAGAAGTTGACAGCATTCCCCCTGAGAACTGGAACAAGACAAGGATGCCCACTCTCACTACTCCTCTTCAACATAGTACTGGAAGCCCTAGCCAGAGCAATCAGACAAGAGAAAGAAATAAAGGGTATCCAAATCAGTAAAGAGGAAGTCAGACTGTCACTGTTTGCTGACGATGTGATCGTTTACCTTGAAAACCCCAAGAACTCCTCCAGAAAGCTCCTGGAACTGATAATTCAGCAGTTTCCAGATATAAGGTTAATGCACACAAATCAGTAGCTCTTCTATACACCAACAGCGACCAAGCACAGCATCAAATCAAGAACTCAACCCCTTTTACAATAGCTGCAAAGAAAAATAAAATACTTAGGAATATACCTAACCAAGGAGTCAAAAGACCTCTGCATGGAAAACTACAAAACACCATTGAAAGAAATCACAGACAACACAAACAAATGAAACACATCCCATGCTTATGGATGGGTAAAATCAATATTGTGAAAATGACCATACTGCCAAAAGCAATCTACAAATTCAATGCAATCCCCATCAAAATACCACCATCATTCTTTACAGAATTAGAAAAAACAATTCTAAAATTCATACAGAACCAAAAAAGAGCTCGCATAGCCAAAGCAAGACTAAGCAAAAAGAACAAATCTGGAGGCATCACACTACCTGATTTCAAACTATATTATAAGGCCATAGTCACCAAAACAGCATGGTACTGTTATAAAAATAGGCACATAGACCAATGGAACAGAATAGAGAACCCAGAAATAAATTCAAATACTTATAGTCAACTGATCTTCGACAAAGCAAGCAAAAACATAAAGTGGGGAAAGGACACCCTTTTCAACAAATGGTGCTAGGATAATTGGCTAGCCACATGTAGGAGAATGAAACTGGATCCTCATCTCTCACCTTATATGAAAATCAACTCAAGATGGATTAAGGACTTAAACCTAAAACCTGAAACTATAAAAATTCTAGAAAATAACATTGGAAAAACCCTTCTAGACATTGGCTTAGGCAAGGATTTCATGACCAGGAACCCAAAAGCAAATGCAATAAAAACAAAGATAAATTGCTGGGACCTAACTAAACTAAAGAGCTTTTGCACAGCGAAAGGAACAGTCAGCAGAGTAAACAGACAACCCACAGAGTGGGAAAAAATCTTCACAATCTATACATCTGACAAAGGACTAATATCCAGAATCTACAACGAACTCAGATATATCAGTAAGAAAAAAGCAAACAATCCCATCAAAAAGTGGGCTAAGGACATGAATAGACAATTCTCAAAAGAAGATATACAAATGGCCAACAAACATGAGAAAATGCTCAACATCACTAATGATCAGGGAAATGCAAATCAAAACCACAATGCGGTACCACCTTGCTCCTTCAAAAATGGCCATAATCAAAAAAATAAAAAAACAGTAGATAGTTGGCATGGATGCAGTGAACAGGGAACACTTCTACACTGCCGGTGGGAATGTAAACTAGTACAGCCACTATGAGAAACAGTGTGGAGATTCCTTAAAGAACTAAAGAACTAAAAGTAGAACTACCATTTGATCCAGCAATCCCACTACTGAATATCTATCCAGAGGAAAAGAAGTCATTATTCGAAAAAGATGCTTGCACATGCATGTTTATAGTGGCACAATTCACAACAGCAAAATCATGGAACCAATCCAAATGCCCATCAATCCATGAGTAGATAAACTGTGGGAGATATATATATATATATCACATGTGATATACATATATATCACTCTCTATATATATAATATATATTTTATATATATATATATATAAAATATATATTTTATATATATATATATATATACACACTATGCAGCCATAAAAAGGAATGAGTTAACATTTGCAGTGACCTGGATGAGACTGGAGACTATTATTCTAAGTGAAGTAACTCAGGAACGGAAAACCAAACATCGTATGTTCTCACTGATATATGGGTGGCTAAGCTATGAGGATGCAAATGCATTAGAATGATACAATGGACTTTGGGGACTTGGGGGGATGAATGGGGGTGGAGTGAGGGAGAAAACGCTACAAACAGGGTGCAGGGTATACTGCTCGGGTGATGGGTGCACCAAAATCTCACAAATCACCACTAAATAACTTACTCATGTAACTAAATATCACCTGTACCCCAATAACTTATGGGAAAAAAAGTTTTATGTTGTCGATGGTACAGTAACAAGATAGAAGGAACCTGGGTCCATAAGCAGGAGCACCTGTGTGGCCTGGGGGAGTGTCATACGAGATATAGATTGCCCACCTCTGGACTTTGTTTACTTAAGAGACATACAAGCCTATCTTGTTTAAGCTGTTATGTGTTACCAGCAACAGTGGGGACCACACAGCTGAACGGACTCCTAACTGACACCAGCACTGTGGAGACAGCATCTGGAGGGCAGGGGTCATGCTTTGACTTACTGTATATCCACCCCAAATAAGAGCTTTGCACAGGGCTGGGCACTGAATGGACACTGCTGGAGGGCCCACTTCCGAGGAAGCTCACTCTCAGCACCGGCGAGTCAGGGCCAGCTGTGGGCTGGGGGCCTCAGCACCTCATCATGTGGCATCGCCATGCGGCCACTGGAGAGTCCTCATGATGCTGGCTTCTCTCAGAGTGACCCAAGAGGATGCAGGTGGAAGCTGGATGTCTTTCACGTTTTTTATGACCTAGTCTCAGAAGTCCTCCTCTGTCATTGTCACAGTATTTGCATCCAGTCTGCTGAGTTTGGAAGGGAGCTACCCAGGGTGTTACTACCAGGAGGCTAGAATCATTGAGGGCCATCTTGGATCCTGCCTCATCTGAACCTGGAGACCCTTTCCCATCTGAAGGGAGGGCATCTCATGGTTCTTTTTCTATTCCCCTTAAAAGAGAGTCTCATGTTCCCTTGGATGGGTGGGATGCAGCCATTATTGGACAAAGGACCACCTTGGAGATCATCAGATGGAAGAGGCTCTATGCCTTAAAGATGAATGGTTAGAACCCAAATTGCCATTCCTGCAGGGGACTGGACATAGAATTCAAGGACCCAAGCTCATTTGGAGAGGCAGCAAAAGATAGTATAGCATTGGAGCTGAGCAGTTAGGCTAATTAATGAGAAAATAAAGCATGTGCCAACAGTTAAGCTGGAAGAAGGGGCGTTTCCTTCCAGGCCAGGCCAATGCTCATCTGCAGCTGAGCCTACTGGGGTCCAGGAAATCAGCGCAATGGACATTTCCTAGGTGTGCAGACTAATACAAGTGACATACAGCCACCAACTTACCACAATGGAGACAGAGCTGTGCCAGAGCCAACCCATTACTGCCTCATAAGAACTGACTGTCAAATTCAGAAATATTGAGAGCTGGTTATTAAATATAGTCATAAAAGTTCAATTATATAAACTCATACTTAAAGAAATTATTTTAAAAACAAAAGTAATAACTACTCAAAACTTATCCTAATGATTTGACTATGGTCTGTGCTTTTGAGGTTATTTATGTCTATTGCATCTGCCTGATGAAGATTCTATGTAATGGGCCTCTCTTCCCAAGTCTGTTCCAGTGACCTCCCATTAATAGCTTAGAACTGGGCATGGAGGGAGTATTTACACCACAGAAATCTGCAAATGCAACAAATCAATGTGATACACATTGCCAGCACACCACTGTGTGGGACATGACTGGAAGGGCCATTGCCCAGGAAGAGGGTGCTTGGGTGGGGATGGTATCTCTCAGGCTCCGGTCCCTTATCCACACTGATGTGTGAGTGGCTGAGTGAGTGTTCTCTCCTCTCTGGACCTCAAGAGGAGCAGATGATCTCTGGGTTCCCTCTCGGCCCTAGGATCCACTCAAGAGCTATTTTCATTTTAAGAGAGTTTATGGCTCTCCCTTACTGCACCCCTAATGTCAGTCATCAGGTTTCCTGTCTGATGGAGGATTATTAATCTTGGGCCTGGATGGTACTGAGGGTGTGAAGTTGACCTCCTGATAGACATTGAGGGAGTCCAGGGAAGGAAAATGAGTTGGCTTTGAAGAAAAGCTGTCATTCCTGCATATTGATAGATAGAGTAGAAAATGGAAACTCCCAGAAGATTGAATGTAAAGCAGCTAGAGACTCTGGAGTCTTATTGTCTTGACCCCCTTCATTCCTTCTCACCAAGACCTGCACCCTCCCTCCCCAGTACATTTAACTAGAAGACTCTGGAAGAGACCAGAAAAGAAGGAGTTAATCCATTGCCGCCACAGGAGTGATTCTTCCTTCTGCCTTTGCTGCGGCAGACCATTAAAATGTAATATTACGAGTATCACGGTCCATTTCCTGGATGTGTGGAGTGGGGCGGCGGGTCCAGGCCTGCTGCATTTTTCCTGCTACACTCAGATTCCGCAGAGTCATAGAGCCTGCTGGGATGGGGAGGGGAGGGGCCTGGGCACGAGGGTCATCTCACTGGAAGTTGGAGCAATTAAGCCTTACCCTTGCAGCTCTGACTGCCCTTGAGCCCTGGCTAGTGACCCTGTCAGGGAACTGGGATGTGGAATCCAGGAGCCAGTTTGCTGTCCCTTAGGTGAGAGTTGTGGGGTCATTCATTCAGGATGGGACCTTGGAGATCCATTTTTCACCTAAGGCAGGTGAGGTTTAGAGAAGGCAGCGGGCTCACAGCAGAGACCCCCAGGGTAAATCGAGGCCTAGTTCCATGGACTCCTGATCCAGGAGGAGAGGCATCAGTATGGTGTCCAGGAAGTGGCTGAAAACCTGTTCATTACTGGGCCTCCTCTGCCTGCTCCCTTTCCAAAAGGACCCAGAGCACAAGGCATCTACGGCTGTTTGTGCATTGCAGCTCACAGTTGCAATCTACCATCCTTTCCATTAAAATCATCAGCTCCAACCTGGGGCCCCAGGAAGCAACACTGGAGTTGGGGAACTAGAGGGAAATCCCGTCAAGGCAGGCGGCTCCAGCCCCATCCACTAGAATGGACTGTGCCTGAGCAAGGCAGGGCTGAGCAGCCCCCATGGGAAGTGCTGGCTGAAGAGTGAAGGCCAAGCACTGTCTGTCCCCAGGCCCAGGCCTGGCTGTTCAGCAGCAATTTGCCTTGCTGTGTGTGGCAGCAGCCAGCAGCAAATTGTACTGTTTCCTTGTCACATGTTGCTGGGCTCTGACACTGCTCCCCTTCCCTGGGCCATTACCCTCATCCACAGAGCCCTGTCTTCTGCCTGGACTGTGGCAGAGGCTCACTGTCCCGCTCCTCTCCAGCTGACACTGTGGCTCCCACAATGTGCCTTCCACCTGGTACTCAGTGTCCTTTCTGAACACCACTGGATCTGACACCCATCCACCAGCAACCCTCATAGGCTCTCAGGGCTCATAGCAAATGCCCAGTGGCTTCCCAGGTTTACTTGACCCAGGATGAGTTGACCCAGCCACACTTCTTGACTTAGCTCTCATAGCTCTATTCTTAGAGCCACTCAGATGGAAATTCTCTCTATTCTTTGGGTATATCAGGCCCCCTCACTTCTGGGTCTTTTTCTCTGCTATTGCCTCTGCTTATTCTTTCTCTTTGTCTTTATTTGAAGAATACATTTACTAATTATGTTAGTCTGTTTTCGCATCACTATAAAGAAATACCTGAGGCTGGGTAATTTTTTTGTTTTTATTTTGTTTTTTGAGGCAAGTTCTCACTCTGTCACCCAGCCTGGAGTGAAGTGGCACAATCACAGCTCACTGCAGCCTCAACCTCCCAGGCGAGGATGGGAGGAAGGGAGTGAGGTACAGAGGAAGAGCAGGCGAGACCACGGGAGGCAGCCTGGGGGTGCAGGAGGAGGTTGCCATCAAAGGCGGAAGAGGCTGTGGCTGGTGGCTTTTCATACCTGGATGTACCCGTGGCTCCATTCACCACCATGCCTGGTGCTGTGGGGCTTTCCATGGCTGTGCATGCTGAATCCTGACCACAGTCCCTTGACAAATGCTCTATTATCACACCCTGTCATAGAAAAAGAGTGGACGCTCACACTGGTACCCCAACTGTCCTGCCGGTAGGTGGTGGAGCTGAGAGTTGATGAGGGCGGTGTGTCTCCAGCACCTGGGCTCCAACTAAGATACTCCATGTCCTCCCTCACGTGGGACATGCCCATCCTGCTCTGTGTCCCTCAGGCCCTCACTGCTCTGCCAGGTCCTCCTTCCTTCAGGCCCCTACCCCTCCTCTGGCTGTGTTGTTTTCAGAAACTTCTCCCTGCGTGTCCCCCTGTCCTGTCCTGTCCTGTCCTGGGACCCTGCCTTCAGGTGCAGGAGGCCATTCTCTTGTAGGAGCCCCATTAGGAATGACGTGACCGTCACAGGCATCTGTGCTGTGCTCCAGTGCTCCCTGCGCGCTGTCTGCCACCTGCACGTGTTACTGGAAATGCCCTCTTATTTCCCTTCTGAAACCCCATGCAACAGGGATGCGAGGTGGGAAGACATGAGTGGGGTCGGGGGCTGATCCCCCTTTGCCTAAAGAGTAACTTCCTAATCACGATCCAAAAAGAGAAGGAATGCTCTCCCTCAAGCCCTGCTCAAAACCACTTTATAATAGTAAGAGTCTTCACAGTGATAATGCATGCACACTGCCATCTTCATCCAGTGCCAGAGCCATGATGAACATTTGCATGCATTCGCTTATCTGACACGTAAGTTACCCCTTGAGGTAGGTTCACTATGTCTTTACTCTAGAATTCTCATTTGACAGATGACAGAATTGAGGCCAGAGGGGCAGGTGCCCATGGTACCGTGTCTAAATGTCAGAGCCGGACTCACATTCAGTTTCATTTCATTCCCAAACTCATGTGCTCAACTTCTTTGTTCAACCGCCTTCTAGAAGAAGTAGACCTAGCTGTGAGAGACCAGAACTGGACGATGACAAATATCAGTGCTGAACATACGCTGCTCAGAGGCTCCTATATGGCTCCTGTCCTCTGCACCGTGACGTGCTAGAGATGGCCCTTTGGAAAACTGAAAAACAATGGGATCCCAAGTGAGGTGACCATTGCAATATCCATCAAGGATTTTATGTTGCAGGGACTGGGCCAAAGCAAAAAGGCCTTTCATGGCAGCTGACGCTGGGGAGATGGAAAGCAGCCGTGAGGTAGAGCTAGCCCTGAGAAGAAAACGCCACCGCTTTGCTGTGGACCTCCGTGGGAAGCCAGTGGCCTGCGGGGAGCCTGTCCACTGCTCCTCCTGGAGCGCCCTCCCCAACAAGCGAGATTGACAGGGACTCCCTGCCCTGCTGCTGTCCCTGGGCACTCTGGACCCTACGAGGAGGGGAGGAATTTGACCTCTAATCTGAGCTCTCCTTTCTCAGGGACTGTGTGGCCCGGTTTATTTTTAGTGAGAGTACATGATTACCGAATCTACTAAACGGGCTTTGGTTAAAGAGCAGCACAGGGTGGAGGTAAATTTGGGAGGCTTCTCGGAGGACAGGCAGAGATGGAAAATGGGCTGGCGGCCACTGCTCCAATGCCTCGGGCCTGACCTCAGAGCCACCCCGAGCCCAGACGCACAGAATCCTAGCTGAGTTGAGGCCCTGACCTGCCCAGCCCAAACCGCCGTCACCTGCTCCCACCCCAGCTTCCAAGACAGGCTGGTGCTCCTTAGTAAATAGCTCCACCATATTGCTCTAAAACAAACACTAGAACAGAGGAGAAGGTGGTGGGGAGAAAGCAGGAAGTTCTGTTTATGGAGTGTCTGCTGGAGCTGGGAACTGTGCTAGGCACTTTATGATTCCATTTAATCCTCTTTGCGTTCCTCTGAGACACGTATTAAAGGAAACAAGAATTCGACGTGTTGAGTCCCTGCCCTGGGCCGAAGCCCTGTCACATGTGCTATTTCATTTATCCATCACAACAGCCCTGTGTGGCTAGGAGCATGAACTTGAGCTTGGGGAGGTCGAGTCACTCACCGAAATTCCAAAAGCAAATCACACCTGGCAGAGCAGCGGCTGGCAGGTGACTAACTCCAAAGCCCATGTGCTCAAACCTCTGTCCTACCTTGTTCCCCAAGGGCTGCTAGGAAAGGTCCCCAGGTTAGGAGAGTGAGCCCCTGAAGTTGGGCCCAGGCAAGAGGAAGCGAGCAAATTGCAGAACCACAGGGAAAGATAGGGAATCGGATGGGACAGCTAGCTTGCAGGGGTTGGGGGTCCTCAGACGCCAAGGAAAGCAAGGCGGAAACCGTGTCCTCATGGCAGCGTGCTGTCTCATCTGCAGGGCATGTGGAATGGAACCCTACCTGCAGAAGTGCAGAGTCAGGACTGCTTGCTGGTAACAGGTTCTGAGCGAGGGTGGAGGAGGCCTGGACAGTGGGGAGGATATGGAAGGGCAACGCTTTGGAGGCCAAGGCTGAGTGCATGTGCGTGCATGGAAGCGTCCCATGGTCTATGTTGATTACTTAGCAGATCTAAAGTCAGCCAAGGGCCCAAAAGGAAATGGGTTTTCCTTGGCCCAGGAGGGGATTTGGGTTAGATACAGGGATAATATTCTAGAGCAAGTGACTCACTTCTCTAGAAACCCACTGTGCTGAGTCACAGTCAATGTGAAAACACTAAGTATCACATATTGAAAGCAATGTGGGTATTGAAGCGAAGCTCAAATCCCAGTGGCAACAAGGGGTAGCTGTGTGATCTTGGGCAAGTTGGGTAGCCTCTCTGAGCCTCAGTTACTTAGCTTCACATTTCTTGAGTGCACCAGAGGTAAGGTGACCTACCTTCCAGAGTTATTATGTAGTGCCGTTAGCATAGTACCTGGCATGGAGCACTAAGGCTCTGGTGGCCATTGACACTATGGCCAAGGCAGAAAGTGAGAACACAGCAATAACTGGGTGAGAAGAGAAAGCCCTGGAGGAGGCTCGGGCAAAGCCTCCCCATCTGTAAATTGGGGTGGGTGGGGAGGTTGGACTATATAGTATGGACTTTTTATACCCCTCCAAACTCTTCTAGTGTCAGATTCTGGGATTTACTCAACTTGAGTCAGTAGGTCATGGAAAGAATCTCTCCATGTGATGGAGAGATGGTGATGGGGTCCCAGGTGGACGAGTTGGCCAATTTCTCAGAGCGCCTCGACAGTTGCAGTCCTTGGCTGGATGTGTGCCAGTCTTCCTGGCAGCACTGGTGGCTGGTGTCTTCCTGCTCTCAACCCTTGTGTGATGAGGGAGCCCTCTGACACCCAGAGCTGCAGACTTCGCTCCCCACCCCATCAGAAAAGGCCAAGCTGTCTGCATCAACAAGGGAGTCACTGATGGAAAAATGGTGGTGATTCTGATGAAATAGGGTCTGATTTCTTCTTGGCTGCAGCTGCTAGCACCTCCCTTCCCAACCTGCATGGCCCCTGATTGCTTTCTCTGGCTCAAGGGTCTTGGGAATTTACAGCTTTGGAAAAAACACAACCAATGTCTGCCGTCTGTGTTGGAAGGGGACATCTTGGAACAAGGGTGCACACCATGGAGGCCAGCCTTCTGGGGCACAGAGGTGGGGACAGAGTGGGAGGGGCACCAGGGAAACATCCACCACATGGTAATTGCTTATGCTTATGTCTGTGTTTGCCTATTATATATAACGGATGGTTGGTTTACCCACCATGGGCCTGCGAGGGAAGTCTGTCGTTCACATTGCCCTTAGACTTGTGCAAGCAGGGATCCTGCCTGAGTCTAGAGCTTCGGAGAGCCTTCTTCAACATTTTATAAATCTCCCTCCAATGCTTGGGAAAAGCTGGGGCTGTGCGTGCTGTTTGTGCAGGGAGCCTAAAGCCTGGAAAGGGAACCATGTGGGCCCTGGGCCCTGAACCCTGTTTCTTCCCTTTGAGGTATGCTTCAACTCTTTACCCTCTGCTCTGTCACCCATGTGCTGGGTGGACCAGATGTCCCAAGGAGCTACAGGACTCCCACCTATGGGGTCATCCCTGAGGCCCAGGGCCTGGTTCCAGGAGGGAAGCTTGATGGGGGGATTGTTCCTATTGGCTGGTATGGCATTTCTTTTGCAGGATTATGTGAGATTGGGCCACTGGTTTTGGATGACTTAAATTGTTTATATACACAGAAGCCCAAATATTTGCCCAGGGCTGTATGCAGAAGAGCAGCCTTGTCTGTCATCTCCAGGTATTCTTTTCTGGAGTTCTGAAGTTAGGCCCCTTGCCCCTTGGTAGGTCCACCCACCCATTGGGTCATAATCTTGGAGCACTGGTAGGGCCAGAGGAGGCCTCTATTAGTTAGGTCTGCAAATATGACCAACATTGTAGAAACTTGGGAGATCCCCAGGGAAGCCCCCATGTTGTCACAGTCCCCATATCCCACCTTTAATCTCCTCCTAAATGTGAACAGGTCTACGGGAGAACTGTTGTGCCTTTGATGCCTGATCTCACCCACCCACTGTCTACTGGGACCACTCCTCAGCCCAATTCTGAGCACATTACAATATTCTCAGTGATGTTTTGATATCGAAAGTAATTTACACAAAATTAATAAATTCATTAACCTTCTAGGGCTCCTGGGGAGTAAATTCTATTTTATTTTTTGTCTTTTTTTTTGCAATAGGAAAGATCCAAGAAGGTGGCTAATATTTCAATAGATGTCTTTCCCCCTCTTGTCTACTGGTGGTAGGAGGAGAAGCTATTTTCATTGTTCTGGAGGGCAATTTGAAAACACTTACTGAAGTCTTTAAAAGGTACTTACCCTCTGACCTAACAATTCTACCTCTAGGAACTTACCCAAAAGAAAGAATTCAAGATGGGTTCAAAGAAGCATCTACAAGGCCATTTGTTCAAGTATGGTTTATAATAGTGAGACATTAAAAAATACATTGAAAACCAACAATTGTGAGTGGATCATATAAATTATAGAGCATGTATACAATAGAGTCCTATCCAGTCACCAAAAATGTTGTTGAAGGAGAACAATTACTAATATGGAAAGATGCTTAGGATGCATTTTATGTTTTTCTAAAATGGCAAAACAGAATAGGCAGTAGGATCTGTTTTCTTTTTTAAAAACTGCTATTGCTTGAATATGTGTTTCCTCCCAAACTCATGTTGAAATGTAATCCCCAATTTGGCAGCATTGAGAGTTGGGGCCTTTGAGAGGTGATTGGGTCATGAGGGCCCTGTCCTTATGAATGGATTCATCCGTTCATCCATGAATAGATTAATGGGTTAACAGACTAATGGGTTATCACAGGAGTGGGACTGGTGGCTTTATAAGCAGAGAAAGAGAGACCTGAGTAGCACACTCAGCCCCTCCACCATGTAACACCCTGCACCACCTGGGGATTCTGCAGAGAGCCCTCACCAGCAAGAAAGCTCCCACAGCAAGAAGGTCCCCACCAAATGCAGCTCCTCAACCTTGGACTTCTCAGCCTTTATAGGATATAAATTCCTTTTCTCTATAAATTACCCAGTTTCAGGTATCCTGTTGTAACAGAAAATAAATGAAGACAGAAAATCTATGTCTGCATATGTATGAAAGAAAGAGTGGAAATCTATGTATAAAAATGTAAACAATGGGATTCTATTGCTTTACTTTTATTTTAATATTTCAATAATTACCAGATATTACATGTGCAACCCTTTTAAAGAGGTAAAAAAAGTGTGCCCCAATTACCATAGTGCTTCCCCAGAGGCCAGCATTGTAAGTCAAATGTTTGAACTGCCACTTTAGTGAGACTGCTTTAAAAATCAACAATTAATGGGGCCTGCTGTTTACACATCTGTCTACTGAGCCTTGCTGGGGTGTGGCGAGAGGTGTGACTCCATGCTTGCCTTCCAGGAGGGTATACTCTAGAAAGGAGAGAGACCCTTCCAGGAGGAACCCTAGTACGTGTCAGGCTGTGTTTGTTTGCTGCAGAGGGGAAAGCAGAATGGAGAGGGCTGTGGCAGACCTGGGCACATCAGGGCAATTGTAGGTCAGATGTCTTTGATGGACAGGTCTCAAGGAATGGTGGGGGGAGATGTCTTCCAAGGGCGGTGTAAGTAACATCCTTTCCGCCCCACAGTGGTTGCCCCTTTTGGGTGGATTTTGCCTGAGTGTGACTCACATGGAGCCCGTCATGGAGCACCAACGCCGTATGAAACCCTCCAACTTTATTTAGGTCTTGGGCAGAGGCCCCCTTCCTCCCATGGGGAAGCAGATCCAGCCCTGGCCTAGAATCCTAGAAACTTCCTCCCACAGCGCTGACATTCTCGAGCCTTCCTGCCACATGCCACCAGCGATCTCTAGGCTTATTTGAGACCTATGTGCCCTCTATTTTTTAAGCCACCATGGGTTGGACTTTTCCTTTGCAGCTGGATGCAAACCTGACCAACAGCATCACTTACTGGCTGCAAGGCCTTGGGGCAGTTACGTCACCATTCTGAATTCAGCTTTTCTTTCTGTAAAATGGAAACAGTCTCCCAAGTTATTGTGAGGATTAATTAACAGAATGTACACAAAGTGCTTGCACATAGTAGGTGCTCAATACATGCTCCGATGACCTGCATATCACCATGGGACTGGCAGTGGTGGCTCACCCATGAGGCCATGGTGGACTCTCTCCTCCAGCGCAGGCACGATCTCCCTGTGGCTGTGTCTGCTCTGATGCCCGTCCATGTGTCTGAGAAGCACCCCCAGCTGTGAGCACCAAGCTCCCAGCCTCCCACTCTCCCCTGCAGCCAAGGAGCCCTGCACCAAGAGCTGCTCCTGGGTTAGCACGGTCCGTCCTGCCCACTCGCCCTGGGCAGATAGAGAAGCGCAGACTCCGGGGCAGCTGCAAGTGCATTGAATCTTCAAGGAGGATTCTTGCTCACAGACAGGAATAAAAATGTAATGCCTGAGATTTATGCTTCCCCGGCCTAAAACAACATCCTAACCACAAGTTATCTGAAAGGACACACTCTCAGTGAGAACATGTCTGTTTTGTTTCCTCCGTCAGCCCCTGTGGATGAAGCGATGGACTGGAAGCCGCATTTCTACCTCTCCTCATGAGCAAAAGGTTCCTGAGCTGCCTGACAGTTGAGGGCTGGGCTCTGACTTTGCAGCTAGAGCAAAATCATCTTTGCTTTGCTTCTCCAGGCATTTTGGCTTTTGGAGCTGTGGGTGAAATTGAGCAAACCCCGGCCTGGTGAACGGCAGGATGAGGGCTCAGGGAGGCAGGGCACGCTCCATTGTCCTCTGTTACATCAGAGCAGCTGGCATTTAGGACTTACACTGCCTGGGAGTGGGCAGCCTGGCTTCTGCTGGCTGTCCTGAGATGAGCTGTATCCTGGTGCTGCAGAGGCCTCAGACACAAACAGAAGTCCCAGTGTCATTCCCAAGGTCCCATTCTCAGGGGCATGCACACACCTGTGTGCACACACACCCACCTGCTGGGCCAGGCTATCCAAGAGGCAGCAGAGCAAAGTGGAATCAGCCCCGCAGCCACAAAGTCTGAAGTTTGCACCCTGATCCCATCACTTCGTAGCTGGCGGCTTTGAGAGTGAATTCACCTTTGTAGACCTCAGTTTCCTTGCCTGTAGAATGGGGATAATAAGGGCATCCACCTGTGGGGGCTGTTGAGGGGATTAGAAATGATGCATGGAAGGTGTCTGGCATGGGACAGGCGTTCACAGCAGGGCTGCTGTAATTAGATGGCGATGTGTGTCGGCGTAGGTGAGGTCCTGGGACAGTTGGGCTGCCTGTGGCTGCGTGCACAGGAAGTGGGTGCTGGAGATCACTCACAGGTGGTCCTGGGGGCAGGGCATGGGGAACTAGAAGAGAGAAAGGCAGGAGGAAGCCAGGGGAAGGGACAAGCTGAGTGGCCCCTGTGCTAGGGATGGAGGGGAGGGGCAGAGGTGGGGTTGGGGCAGGATGCCAGGCTGGGGGAGGGGAGGCTGGACATAGGAGGCAGTGGCCTGGGGCCGGGGGAAGGGTTATGTATCATCCAAGTCTTCAACCCTAAAGCTGGTAGGGGGCAGGGGGAGCGAAGGCAACACCTCCTGGGACCAACTTAGAGGATGTCCTTGCCAGCATCCCTCAGTCCCGGAACCCCTCATGGGAATGAATCACTCAGGCCTCACAGAGGGACTCTGGAAGACTCTTAGGTTGATTCAGGCAAGATGAGACAAGGGGTGCCCCCTGGGCAGTAGGAGGGTAGCAGAGGCCTTCCCCACTGTTAGTTACGGGCCCACAGAAGGGCAGGGGCCTCTGCTTCTGTGGGGCCAGACCAGCTTCCCTGAGAGGAGGGAGTGCAAGAGAAAGTGGAATGACATCCTAAGTAATGGCCCCAATGACAGTGTCCCTGAGCAGGTCCCTTCCCGGGTAGCATCTCAGCTGTTATGAATGCGGGGACCGCCTGGACTGCAACGCAACCCAACCCCACTGCCCGCCCAGTGCCAGTGGCCCCATGAGCAGGTCATTAAAGCAGACTCCATGTCCCTGTCACCCTTGGAAACTCTAGGACAGAGTAAGGGCACTGCTCAGTGGAGGGACTCAGGCCTGGAGATCCAGGCCCCATTCTTTCTTGGATCTTTAATGAGCCCTGGGCAAATATTTTTAGCAATGGTAATAAAAGCTTTCCAGGAAACCAGGGGCAGGGGAAAATATATTGCTTCTGCCATATGTTTGTGGTTGGTCTGTTTATATTTTTAAAATAATTACACTGTTGAATTCAATAATTTCCAACTATGAAAATGAGCAGACTCTAAAGAATCTCAAGTTTGTGGTCTGAAAGCCAGGAGTGGGCATTGACAGTGAGGCTGTGGGGCTTGAGATGCTGGGATCTAGGCTCCAGGGAAGGGAGAGCCAGGAAGGAGAGGCAGGAGGGTCAGAGCAAACTGTGCCTCCACAGGGACACGGCAGCATGCCTGTGTCGCCTCCCAGATGGGGAAACTGAGGCTGGAGGAGGTCTTGGCTGGTCCAGCTAAGGCCTCCAGGCTCCCTGGCTCTCCCTGATCGCTGTCCTGAGGGGAGGCTGGACAGCAGGCAGGTGACTGAGAATTCCTGGCTGCGGGGCCTGCATGGGAGGACCCTGGGGACTGATTTCCAGACTGCAATCTGCTGGGGACACTGGGTGCCTGAGGGGTCAAGGTCTGCATGTGTAGGGTCGGGGTGGGGCAGGAGCTCTGTGTTGGCAGCCGGCTCATTTCAGTTTCTCTGGGTAGTGCACCCTCTGCTTTCGTCCTGGCCTTTCCTAACCCTGGAGCGGCTTGGGGTCAGTTGCACCTCTCCCTGATTACTGCCTTTCTCTGACCCCCTTTGGGGCTGGAGGGCACTGGGCTGTCCTATGTCCTCGCTGGCCGGACGCACATCACTGCTGCCCACAGCTGCCTGTCCCTGCCTGAGGATGGGCGAGCAAGCGAGGTGCCCGGTGCCTGCTCCGCCCTCCCAACCCTGAGCACCTGAGTAGGAGGTGCCAGATCTTTCCCAAGTCACGGTGTTCTGCCTCACACCCACGGAGGGCTCCCTGCTCCCTGGGGGCAGGCTTGGGGTGACCGGCCTAACACCCAGTGGTAGGTGGAACGCCTGCACGTGTTGCCCTGGGCCCTCGGACACACCACATGGTTAAAGGCTTTTGATGACTTTTCTTTGCTTTTAGGCAGATTTCCAATCCCTCACATGGCCCCTATGCCCTTCGTGTCTGGGCCCCCAGCCTTATCTTCGGTGCCTTTCCTTCTTCTCCACGATCTTCCATGCAGAGCCTTCTGCACGCTGCTCCTCGCCCTGCCTGGTGCCTTGCGGCTCAGCCCTATGTGCTGCATTCCTCCGTCACCCTCCGCTCTAGGGGGGCTGCATGCAGAGTTGTGCAGCAACTGTTTACCATCCGTCTTTCCCTGGAGGGAGGCTCCAGGGGGCCACAGCCCCATTCTGTGTTGCTTGCTATTTCCAGCCGTAGCACCCCAGGCCCTGGTGTGCTGTGGCTGCTCAAAAAATAGTTGCTGACCGAAGGAAAAAGAAACAGGTTCCAGGAGTAAGTGGGAACCCCAGGGGCCTGAGCCAGTCACCCCATACAGGGGCCATGGGAGCTGATGAGGGCCCCGGTGAAGGTGTCGGCCAAGGGAGGGGAGAGACAAATCTGAGAGGCATTGAACTGGCAATTCTCTGGATGTGGCTCTTGTGAAGCTGAGGATGAGGCTGAGCCGATTTCATAGTTCAGCGGGCAGTGGGCACCTGCTTGTCTTCACAGGCGGCGAGAGCTGTGACCAGGGGTGAGCGAATCAAGGTGGGCAGAGGCTGAAGGAGGAGGGAAGGCGGCTCTATCTCCTCCCTCCACAGCCGGGGCCACCTCGTCAGGCCGAACCTGGCCACCTCCTCCCAGAGCCCTTGCAGCTGCCTGCCTGGCCCAGGCCTGCCTTTCTCTGATCCGCTTCCACTCTGTGGTTGGCGGGATGGGATGGGAAAGCAAGCCTGGTCCTGCTTCTCCCTCCTCAAATCTTTCCGTGGCTCCCTATTGCTAACTGGAAACACCCAAATCCATCAGTCTGGCACTTTAGAGATCCAGCCTCAGCTGACTTCTGAGCCTCATTTCCCACCGCCCTCCCCAGGTCACCCAGAGCTCAGGGGCCCCTGAATTCCTCATAGTTCTCTAATTAAGAGTCTCTAAGTCAGACTCTTGCATCCTCCGTGCTGTCTGCATATGCTGTTCCCTCTCCCTGCATGCCTTTCCCCGACCGTTCATCCAGGAGTCTTTACTCATCCGTCAAGACTCAAGTTAAACCTTCTCTGCCAGGGAGACCCTCCCTGAGCTTCCTGGGGTGGGGAGCACACCCAGCCATGCTTGCCATCCCTCACAATGTTGCACAGGGCACTGTGACAGCCTCCACCAGGCAGAACCTCTCGGCCTGTTTCCTCCAGCACCTCCTCTGCTTCCAGATTGTGCCAGGACACAGTCCACTCTGTAGACAGCATCAAGTCCTCCTTCGCAGAAGAGGGAGCTAAGAAGGGGTCCCAGTAAGGCTGATGGGCTTCTCAGGCCCCTCCAAAGCCTGCCCAAGCTGACGCTGCTTCCACGTGCTGGAGCTCTGGCCTTGGGAAGCTGGGGAGGCTGCTCATCCCAAGCCAGACCGCCCAGGCCCCAGCCCCGTTACTCCAGGCTCTGAGAGGAGGGAAAGGCTGAGTGTGTTCCAGCCCTGACTTTTTCCCCTCACTGGCTGCAACCAAGAACGGGGTTTACCCACTACCCTCAGATGTAAGGATGGATCCGTTTCCGGCTCATTGCCGGAGCAGCAGCAGCTGCAATCGGAGAAGCAGGGCCGGCAGAGGGGCCGCCAACAGCAAGGACGTGAAAGATTCGTGTTCTGAGAATTCGTTTGCATACATCCCAGCTGTAATTTTTCCCCTTGGGAGAATGGGATGTCACAAATCTGACGCGCATTCAACAACTGGAGTAGAAAGGAAAAAAGGAGCAAGCTGCCAGGGCTTCAAAAGCAACACTTTCTTGGCAGAAAGGACATAAAAACAACTTGACAAGATAAAGGGCGTGGAGCTCTGAGCTGCACAGTGGTGGATGCTAAAGACATAATTGGCCTCTGGAAGACCAGGCAGTGCTCTGGCAGCATTGGGGAAAGTGGGCCGCAGGTGGGCAGGGGAGGGGGACCTTTCCAGCTCCTGGGACAATGACCTTATATGCTCACTACAAAGGTGTGTGTGGGGGCAGGGATAGTGTTCCTTGAGTGCCTGTGTGTGCTCTGAGCATATGAGTAGACTTTGTATGAGCTTGAATATTGTATCAGTCAGCTATTGCTACAGTAACACTGTGTAAGAAACCACTCCAAACCTAAAACGACAATGACTTATTCTTGGTCCCATTGGTTTTGGGGTCTGCTGCAACTCCACTGGGCTAGCTTGGACTTTTGGCTCTGGGCTCTGGGCTCCAGTGTCCAGGCTGTAGGTTGGGATCAGGAATGGCCCACGTGTCACATATCCTCCTTTGACCAGCAGCCCCCAGGGCACATGGTCACCTCCATGTGTCTCCTTTTGGGGCCCTGGCTGAAGGAAGAGCAGCTCCTGGAGCATGTTCTCACTGTAGATCACCAGCATGAGAGAGCAGAACTTATTGTCCAAGCACTCCCCAGGCTCTGCATGCTGGGGCTGGGTTGAGACTTGCTTTGGCCAAAGCAAGTCTCAAGGTCAAGACCAAAGTCAAGGGTCAGGGAAACATGCTCTGCTCATCATGAGGCTGTCATGTAGTAGAGAGCTGGGACCAGGAACTCTGTCTGCCACAACTCACTCAGGATGTGAGGCTTCAGGTGTCATGAGGGTTCTGAGGGCTTCAAAGTGTGTTGTCCTGTGTCTCAGTGTGTGTGAAACAACTCTGTGCATTTTTTGACTTTGGTGCAACCATCGGTCCACTCCCAGATGAACATCAGAAATTATTTTAGTGAAATCATGGATGGAGGTCACAGGAGAGAAATGCCCAGGGTTGTAGGACTGTTAGCATTGTGGGAATTTTAGAGCAAAGTTATAAAATCTGCCCCAGATAGAGAAGCTGATAAACCACACGAAGCCTCTCTGTGTATCCA
Source organism: Homo sapiens (assembly GCF_000001405.40). NCBI lineage: Eukaryota > Metazoa > Chordata > Mammalia > Primates > Hominidae > Homo > Homo sapiens. Next base: position 61,104 of record NW_011332693.1, on the reverse strand, counting down.
TCACCTCTAAGGTATGGAATTTTTTGATCTTATCACCAGCTTGTAACAAGGGGGTGGGTGCAGCCAAAAAGGATTAATTTTCCAATCTATTACAGGGAGCCCAGCAATCTATTACTTGGAGGCCACAGAAGAGAAGTTGGAATGAAAGTGAGGATTGAGGGACTTCTCCCCATGCAAACTGAGTTGAAAGCATCCCCACAGGTGAGGAGAAAGGCCAGGTCTCCACAGAGAGCTGTTCTCCAGGGGAGGGACAAAAATAAATGTATTGATCCGAGAGCTTCAGGTAAGAGGCTTTCGCAGTCAGTGTGTTCTCCGCACAACACGAGACGGCAGAAACGTTCTCCAGTGGCACATTAAGCTGTTCCTCATCAGCCTTCAGGCAACAGAGCCAAATTTCCCCTGTTAGTTACACTTGCCTTTTATTTTTCACGAGATGAATTTTTAATTTTTAAGATAGTATTGGGAAAATTTCAAAGTGTCTGCACAAGGCAGGCTCCAAATGTGCTGTGTATTTGGTCAAAGCATCAGGGCTTCCAGATGGGTCACTATAGCACCACGAGAAGAAACACAAGTTGGCTTCCTCCAGCCTTAGGAAGTGGGCTTGTGCCTGGGGCCCTGAGTCACCCACTGCTGTGGACTAGGTGTTGCCTTTGACTCCTGGTCTGGGGCATCTCCTGAGCACTGACTTGGTGCCAGGCACTGTGCTAGGCTCTGGAACTATAGCACAAACCAAGACAGACAGCATGGTATCTTAGTCCTTCGAGCTGCCATAACCAAGCACTATAGATTATTACAGCACTTACAATAGACAACAGAAATTTATTTCTCACAGTTCTGGAGGCTGGAAGTCCAAGGTCAGGGTGCAAGCATGTTGGGTTCTGGGGAGGGCCCTCTTCCAGGCTGTAGGCTGCTGACTTCTCCCTGTGTCCTCACATCGGAGAAAGAGGAGAAGAGAGCTCTCTGGGGTCCCTTTTACAAGGGCCTAATCCCATTTCTAAGGGCTCCATTCCATGACCTAATCACCTCCCAGAGCCCCTGTCTCCTAATACCATCACCTTGAGGATTAGGATTTCGACATAGGAATTTGAGGGGGACACATATTCAGACCATAACATGTGGTCTTTGCCTTTACCAAGCTTATAGTCTACTGGGAGCCAAACCTGAAAGAAAGAAACTGACAAGCTTAATAACTGAGCCAAGAATGAACCTGCGAGGAGCTGAAGTTGCAGGTAGCAGGAGAGACCTCTTTAGACCTTACCTGGGCTGAGGGTACCACAGGTGGGTGCCTGCAGCTGTGCTGTAATGAGAACGATGTCTCCCAGTGATTGGATTGCTAGGAGGGGCCACTGAGCTGGTTCAGCCTGACCTAGGATGAATGCTCATCCCAGGTTTAGGCCCCTGCCCTCTCTAAAGCTGAGGTCCTGCCTCCAGCCTCAGAATGCACCCTGGCCCTGCATTGGAGCCAGATGACCTGCAGGCCTGTTTTAGGCCCTCCAGAGGCAGGTGACAGTGATCACTACCAGCCCTTGCACACGGTATTCCTCTCTCTTCCGTCCTGCTGGTAACGTCCGGCATCACCACAGAGTCCAAAGGCAGAAAACATAGAGGAGATTGAGACAGCCGGGTCTCAGGAGCTGCCATCTTCTCATCCTATGCCTGCCTCCTCCTCTCGGTGTCCCTTTGGCGTCTGCAGATTCCAAGGCTCCGACAACCCTCCAATTATGGTGCCTGCTTAGGGCCTGCGGTAAGAAATTTGCTAACAAGGTCAGGAACAGGCCTGCCTCTGCAATGAAATCAATTAAGATCAAAGGAGCATCCAATGCCCGCACGGGAAGGGGCCTTCCTTCCTCACTTGCTTGCTCACCTGGGGGTGTTTGGGGAGCAGGTGCACGTGCTTGCTACTAATGCTGGGTGCCTGCAGGAAGCAGGAAGGTGCTGTCCCTCCCGCAGGACGCTGGAGCTGAGGGTGTCTTACGGGGCACCGTGAGCTAGACTGCAAAGGACCAGGAGAGGGGTGGATGTGGAGCAGTGGATGGCACATTTAGAGTGGGGGATTGAGGAAGGCTGGGAGAAGTTACCTAGGTGTGGCAGGCTGCTTGTCTGCAGTTCTCTGTTAGGGACTAAATGCGTCCCCCTTAAATTCATATGTTGAAATCCACTCCCAGTATGGGCACTTTGAGATGTGATTAGGTCATGAGGGTGGACCCTCATGAATGGGATTGGGCCCTTATAAAAGGGACCCCAGAGAGCTTCCTCCCCCTGCTCCCACCATGAGAAGGTATGGGGAGAAGTCAGCTGTCTGCAGCCTAGAAGAGGGCCCTCCGGAGAACCTGACCGTGCTGGCACCCTCATCTTGGACTTTCAGCCTCCAGAACTGTAAGAAATCAATTCTGTTGTTTAAAAGTCACCCAGTCCTGGCCAGCTGCGCCGGCTCACTCCCTAATCCCAGCACTTTGGGAGGCCGAGGCAGGAGGATTGCTTCAGCTCACAAATTTGAGACCAGCCTGGGCAACATAGTGGGATGCATCCTGTTTCTACAAAACAAGTTTTAAAAATTAGCCAGGCATGGTAGAGTGTGCCTGTAGTTCCAGCTACTGGGGAGGGTGAGGCAGAGGGATCGCTTGAGCCTGGGAGGTTGAGGCTGCAGTGAGCTATGATTGTGCCACTCCAGCCTGGATGACAGAGTGAGACCCTGTCTCAAAAAAATAGTCACCCAACCCCGTGGTGCCTTTTAAAAATAGCAGACTGAGGCTGGGCGCAGTGCTCACACCTGTAATCCCAGCACTTTGGGAGGCTAAGGCGGGCAGATCACGAGGTCAGGAGACCAAGATCATCCTGGCCAACATGGTGAAACCCCATCTCTACTAAACATACAAAAATTAGCTGGGCTTGGTGGCGCATGCCTATAATCCCAGCTACTCGGGAGACTGAGGCAGGAGAATCGCTTGAACCCAGGAGACAGAGGTTGCAGTGGGTGGAGATTGCGCCACTGCACTCCAGCCTGGCGACACAGTGAGACTCCATCTCAAAAAATAAAATAAAATAAAATAAAATAAAATAAAATAAAATGAAATAAAATATTAAAAAAAAATAGCAGACTGAACTCACAAAAACATTTTCCTTCATCCATTTACCCTTCCCCTGTTTAGAGGGATGTTGGGGTTGGCTGGAGAGGAAGAATCTGGCCTGGAGTTTTCAAATGCTGGAATTTTGGCCTAATAAGGGATTTTGATGACTACTTGTTTTTTACCACAAGGGAAAAGAAAATTCTCCAGGCTCGGGGAGAGGGGCGAGGACTGGAGCTGGACACTGATGTAGGTGTGAGATGCATCCTCTCCCCACCAAGGCCCAGGGAAGGAGGGAGGGTGGATTTGGAAACGCAGGGACAGAGAAGACCTGCACCCTCCCCCTCCCTCAGGCCAACCACGTCCACAGCACATGATCTACGATTTCTAGTTTTGCTTCACTTTTAAGTGGAAAAAGAGCGTAAATACTGTGGAGCGATGTGTCTTAGACTCCTTCCAGGTTTTTATCATTTTCTCCAGTCTCTCACAGATGGCAACCTACCCATCGATTTGATGGACAGCATTTTTAGCAACTTATCTCTACCAAGTCTTACCTGAGTATTCAACTTAGTTTTCATAGAAGCAGCAGCTCTCTTTTTTACATTTATATTTCATTGGTTTAACTAATATTTAAGGAAATTACATGATATGGTTTGGATTTGTGTCTTCACCCAGATCTCATGTCGAATCGGAGGAGGGGCCTGGTGGGAGGTGATTGGATCGTGGGGGCAGATTTCCCCTTTGCTGTTCTAACGATGAGTGAGTTCTCACGAGATCTGATGGTTTAAAAGTGTGGCACTTCCCTTTTGCTCTTTCTCCCTCTCCTGCCACCGTAGGAAGAAGGTGCTTGTTTCCTCTTCGCCTTCTGCCATGATTGTAAGTTTCCTGAGGCCTCCCAGTCATGCTTCCTGTTAAGCCTGTGGAACTGTGAGTCAATTAAACCTCTTTTTTTCGTAAACTACCCAGTCTCAGGTAGTTCTTTAGAGCAGTGTGAGAACGGACTAATACATTACATAACTACAACAACAAATACAACTGGCATAAACAGGTTTGGGACCATGCCATCGGACTCTGGGTAATCTCACAGTTGGACAGATGGGAGCAGAAGTGGGAAGGCACCTGAAAGTAGCCCCTCCGCTGACAGCCTTCGTACACCAACTACATCAGGTCACTTGGTTTAGGGCAAGGCAAGGGAAAGGAAGAGTTGGCTACTCAGCCACTCTGCGAAGCGGACGCTGGGTTAGAGAGCTTCCACTGCATGTGCAAGAGAACGATTATGTTTTAGGTTTGGTTTGCCAAAAGCATACCCTAAGACAAAGATTTGAGTGCAAGTAATGCCAGCTATCCGTTTACCATGAGGCACAGGTGTGGGTGGGAGGAAGGCAGGGAAGCCAAGGTGGGCCTGTGTAGCCAAGGGAAGGCCACAGTGGGCGGTGGGAGCTTAGGCCTGCGTTAGAGCGGTGCTACCCACAAGGCAGGGAAGCGGGGCTGATCCGTCCCCCAACTCCTAGTGTTCTCGGCTGAGGACTGCTCTCGGGGGCATGAACTGCCTGGCACTGCATTGCAGCCTCTGGCTGAGTACGCTGCTGCCACTGGGAAAGTCCTTAGGCCGAGAGCTCGAGGTGATACTGATTTACCCATCGGACTTGAGAGGCACAATGCCCAGGACCCAAGATACCTTTTAGGACCCATGAAAATGCTTTCTTGCTTTTTTTTTTTTTTTTTTTTTTTTTTGAGATGGAGTCTTGCTCTGTCACCCAGGCAGGAATGCAGTGGTGCAATCTCGGCTGACTGCAACCTCCGCCTCCCAGGTTCAAGCAATTCTCCTTCCTCAGCCTCCCGAGTACCTGGGATTACAGGTGTCTGCCACCATGGCCGGCTGATTTTTGTATTTCTAGTAGAGACGGGGTTTCACCATGTTAGCCAAGCTGGTCTCAAACTCCTGACCTCAGGTGATCCTCCTTCCTCTGCCTCCCAAAGTGCTGGGATTAGTGGTGTGAGCCACCATGCTCAGCCACATGCTTTTTTATCAGAAGAAAAGTAAATAAATTTTTAAGGTGAAGAAAATGTTTTAATATATAATATGAATATATTTGTCTTTATATCAGTACAATTGTAAAATATTATTTTTAATAGATTTTTAAATGGAATGTCTTAGTCTGATCGAGTTTCCATAATGAAGAATCATAGACCTGGTGGCTTAAACAGACATTTATTTCTCACACTTCTGGAGGCTAGAAGTCCAAGATTAAGGTGCAGGGCAATTTGGTTCTTGGCAAGGGCCCTCCTCCCGGCTTGCAGACAGCCACCAACTCCCTATGTCCTCACATCCAGAGAGAGAGGAGAGAAATCTTCCTGTTTTTCTTACAAGGTCACTAATCTCATCGATGAGAACCCCACCCTTATGACTTTGCTTAGTCTTAATTACCTCCTAAAGCCCTATCTCCAATTATAATCACAGTGTGGGTTAGAACTTCAACAACCTATGCAGTTCAGAGGAGACACAATTCAATTCATAGCATGAAGGAAGGGCCCCAGGATGGGACACTATGATCGTGGTTGGAGGGGCTCACGATGAGACGCGGTCAGTGGGGCAGACACCGGGACGGCCCAGGGGCTCTAGTTGCATCACGGCAGTGAGTAGCAGATAGTAATGGTGGTAGATTCAACATAACTTGGGCAAGGGGAAAGTGAATATGGTGGGGAGCCTTGGGGAGTGAGACAGTGACAGGGGTCTCAGCCAGGCAGTGCAGTCACAGCGAGGTCACATCAGCCTTCAGGCTGAAGAGATGGAGATGGTGTGAATTTGTTGATTTAGAGGCAATGCAGTTTCAGATTTGTGATGACAGGAGGGGGCTGAGGTGGAGCCGAGATTAAAGTCCTTGGAGGCAAGAGGATTAAGGAAGGAGGAGGCAGGCCATCCCCTGCGCTATCCATGTGGGCCCAGTTGTTTAGGGTGATGGCTGCATTTGGGTGTGAGGCAGGTGGTGGCAGGTGCAGAGGTCTTAAGTGACAGAGGGGATGTGACCAACGGTGAAGGTGAGCAGAGAGCTCTTCCCTAGAGGGAAGGAGGACAATGAACCAAAAGTGTCCTGGAGGACAAGAAAGAAGACAACCTTTGGGTGACCCCGAGGAGCATGGGGTATAAGAGAAAAACAAGTATTTGCTGTTTTCCTAAGCAATAAACCTGCTCAATCCCCTCACGGTCAGGCCGAGGAAAAGGAAAATTTGTCTGAAATTCCTCCACTAGACAGAGGACAGCTGGGACTAGAACACAGCCCCTCAAACTGAATTATTCAAGCTAATTTTAAAAGGGAGTTTATTAGACTGTGGAGTTTATTAGACTACGTTCTTGGTCAGCAAGATAAAATATTGAATAGTTGTCTATCCTCCCTCAAGTTCATGTATGGATTATAAATACAATTACAATCAAAGTCCCCTAAAGGCGTTTTAAAATCAATGTGCTTTGAAGTCTTGTGTGAAACAAAGAAACAGCCAAAACTTTCAAAGAATGTTATTGAAATTAAGAGCAACAAAGTGAGGGGTAGAGAGGGACAGTGGTGTGGGCTGAGCCGCACCCAAGAGCAGATGATAAAGCAAAGCTATTGAGAGCTCAGAGCTGGCTCCTGCACAAAGACACCACAAGACAGCCCAGGGAATCCAGAAACAGGCCTGGGTATGAAGCAGATCAACACATGGTCAAGTCCACTCTCCAAAACAAGCCCTAAGGAGGAAGTGCTTTTGAATTGTGTTGGATAATGGAATAGTCATTTAGGATAAAAGACCAGGTTGGATCCACACGACATCATACACTCAATAAACTCAAGGTTGATTAAAGTGTTAAATATGAAAAACTAAATTTTAGATAAACAAGCAGAACAGAAAATAGAATATTTATCAGATTTGTGGATGAATTGCTCATCTCACAAGCAGTAGAAACAACTTCAAAGACAAAGATTGAGTTGAATGTGGAAGGTCTACAAACTTTCAAATAATGACAGTAACAGAAAAAAAAATGAAGGCCCAACACACTGGGAGAACACTTACACCGAAAATGAAAACAACATCGTTGCCAAATATGACTGGCAAAGAATGAGCAGGTATAATGTCTAAAGAGCTCACCCAAATGTATAAAAATATGCAGACTCCCAAAAATAACAAAGCAGAGGCTGTATAAAGCATTCATGAGAGAAGAGCAAATTGTTAATAATTAAAGAGATAGAGCTTGGGATACCATTTTGCATTAATTTAAAAACTAGTTATTTTGAACAGTTTGATCTTGAGCCACTGAAGCTAAGGGGAAGCGGTCAAACTCACTGATACTTGCAGGATACTTGCAGCATTTTCAGTAGGGATAATGTGATTGGAAAGGAAAATGGAGATATGAAGCAAGAACCATAAAGATTTGTCCAACCTGACTCCTTATTCCCCATCTGAAACTCTGTGCTAAGGAGACGATCAAATGGGAGCAAGAGCCACATGCACTAAGATCCTCGCCATCATCTTTAATAGTAAAATGATGTTTTACTACTAAACACATTATTTATATTATTACATATTATTAAACATACTATTTATATGACAAAAATAGTCACCGTGTTAGGGCTATGGTTTAAATAATTTGGGAGAAAGAATTCCTTCCATCCTTCCTTCCCTCCCTTCTTTCCTTCCTTCCTTCCCTTCTTTCCTTCCTTCCTTCCCTCCCTCCCTCCCTGCTTCCTCTCTTCCCTTCCTTTCCCTTCCTTTCCCTTCCCCTCCTCCCTCCTTTCCTTCCTTCCTTCTCCCTCCCTCCCTCCATCCCCATTAAACATACTATTTATAAATAGTAAAAGAAAACATAGAGAAACAGAAATGACCTAAATGTCCCAAAATAAGAAAAGAGTTATATTGTGGCATATCTACTCAGTGGAGTATATTTAGCCATTAAACCCACAAGGAGAAAAACAAAAATAGTCACCATCTTAGGGCTATGGTTTAAATAATTTGGGAGAAAGAATTCCTGCCTGCCTGCCTGCCTGCCTGCCTGGCTGCCTGCCTGCCTGCCTGCCTGCCTGCCTGCTTGCCTTCCTGCCTTCCTTCCTCCTGCCTGCCTGCCTTCCTCCCTCCTTCCCCCTTCCCTCCCTCCCTCCCTCCCTCCCTCCGCAGCAGAGTGGACCATGCACCGAGTCAACAGACTCTGGGAGGCTGTAGAATGCTGATAATGCTCTCAATTCTCCAGGACTAGAAGTGGGCAGGGGCTTGGGGGACCGGAGGGGGTGCGAACCTCCTCTTATCGGCCAAACAGGTACACCCCCGTTAGGCAGAAATCCAAGGAATGGAACATTAGAAATTCAATCTACACATTTAGAAAAATCATGTATGCTAGTTATAGATATATTGCCAGGTGAACATAAAATTCTATTTTGGGAGTGTCTGAAAAAAATTCACCTCCTGGTGAAAATATGTCACATTTGCAGCAAACCACACATCTCACACTTCCAGTTCCCACATCCTGGATTAGCAGGGGAGCTTGTTTTTCCCAGGCTCTTCTATCCATTTATTCCTTTTGGGAGTTGCCACGGTGGGGTGGGGTCTTCATGTGGAACCACTGCTGTGGGTCTCCACACTGCAGACCCTCCCTTCCAGCAACTGCTGCCTTCCTCTTCTTGCTGCCCACTGACCACCATGCTCCACTGTTCCTAGGCTACTGCCAAAGCCCTCCGAGTGTCTACTTCCACTCCGCTCCCAGATCCCCGGTGCCCAGCCCCTCTGCCTTGATGCCACGGCTCCTCCTCTGCCTCCTCACTCTGTCCCCATCTTGATACCACCTCAGGGACTGGGCACAGGTTCCCTAGCAAGGCTGTTGGCTCCTAGGGAAGCACTCACCCCTCTCTACTGCAGCCTCTTCTCTCCAGAGTTCATAGGTACTGCTGTGGGAGGCTGGGAGGGAGTAAATACCGTGTCAAGGCGTGGCCCAGTCAGCCTCATTCTGCATCCTCCTATCTGGACCACCTTCTCTGTCTGGCCAGCTGGCCAACTCCTTCACTTCTGGTGACTTTCTCTCAGGCTCCACTGTTGCTGCTCCTTGTCAGACCCCATTTGGGGACCCCCTCACCAGTCTATCTTAAAGGATCTGGCAGTGTCACCTGCTGTTATTGACTTGGTTTAAGTTCTCACCCCAGGATCCTGGGGTCAACAGGGGTGGTCGGTGGTTGTTTTCATGTTCCAGGGCCTTCAGTTAAAGAAGAGGGTTGGAGAGTCTGCTCTGTTCAGGGCACACTGGGGACCCTGGGGCAATATGGCCTTTGTCTCATACCAAGCCGGTAGAGCCCCGTTGGTGAGCAAATCAGAGGACCCACAGAGGGGGCCCTGGCCCCATGCCCATCTGCACTAGGGAGAGAGGGAGACCCAGGACAGACAGACCCCAGTGAATCCTTGGATACACTCAAGCCGGAAGCCCACTCTGCCCTGGTCTTAGTGAGGCAATTCTATGGAGTTTGTCCAAGATGGGTTTCTGACCTGCAACGCAAGAGTCCTGAGGACTGCAAGAACTACTCACTACTTCTTAACTTTTATAAGTCATCTCATCGTGCAGATTCATGGGGGCGAGGGAGTGGCTGCCACACGCTTGGGGTGGGATCAGGGAAGGAGCCACAGGCTGCCCAACCAAAGCCAGCTGGGCATCTTGGTGACAGGGAGCAGATGAAACCAGCAGTCCTCTGTGGCCACAAGCAGGACCTGAGCCCCTCTCTGGGTCAGCGGGTGGAGGCGGCAGCCTGGGCTGGTCCCCAGGGTGGCAGTGCTGTTCCCACAAAAAACGCAGGGGGAAAAAGAGCAAGAAGCTCCTGCATCGGCCCATCCCGTGCCCAACAGCACGTGTTGCTGATGAATTTCTGACAGCGTGGACCCATCTGAGAAATCCGAGGAGGCCCAGCATGTCTCTTCCAGAGAAGTGAACTTTAATTTATTTAAATGTAATGGAAAAGCATATGGAGGAGAACGGAAAACTAATTTGAAATAGTGCTCAAAGCAATCAATATGTTAACTGGTTCCTTCAACTTTTGCTTGGCTGCAGAAATAAAAACAAACAAAAAAAAAACAAAAAAACCCCACAAAAAACGTTTAAAATGTAAGCCAGTCTCTTCCATCCCCTCCTTCTGTATTATGAAAACACTGTTTTTGATGTTTGGGGCTGAATTCTTTGGAGTTAAAATCAGCCAGTCTTGTAAACATTAAAATATGCATTTGGAAATATAAATCACTGGATGAAGTTGGAAGTGGTATTGGAGATAATTTTAGTAAAAACCAAAACAAAAACTGGTTTTGGGTGTGCCATAGCAGGTGAAGCAGATGAAGTCTTTTAGATCAAACTAGAGTTTCCTCTGTGCATTTGTTTTCTCATCTGCAAACTGGGCACAGCTGTCCTTTCTTAACGTTCTTGTAAGAATTTAGTGGGATGAGTCTGCTTCGCAAACTGCAAAGCTGTTCAGCTGCTCATTTTGAACGTGAGTTGCATTCCTCCCTTTCCTGAGAGACCACCGGTTCTTCGAGGCTGGGGTCGTTCTCCTTCCAGCACGTGCCTCAGAGGAGACAGCCTGGGGCTGAGCATCCTGGCCCCAAGGACATGCTGGATTCGGCTGGGCTGAATTGAGGAAACCAAGGTTGACCTACTACCTCCTAGCCTGTTTGTACCCAGTGCCGCAGTGTCTAACATCCACCATCAGTGAGTCATCCCTTTGTTACACTCTGCACTCTTCTTTTCTGGTGATGTGTAGAGCAGAGGTACCCAACCCCGTTGGGAACGGGCCGCACAGGAGGAGGTGAGTGGCAAGCTAACATCACTGCCTGAGCTCCGCCCCCTGTCAGATCTACCGCAGCATTGGGTTCTCATAGGAACATGAACTCTATCGTGAACTGTGCATGCGAGGGATCTAGGCTGTGCACTCCTTATGAGAATCCAATCTCCGACGAAACGATCCCCTCCTCACCCGTGGTCCGTGGAAAAATTGTATTCCGCGAAACTGGCCCCTGGTGCCAAAAAGGTTGGGGACCGCTGGGAAGAACAGAGGCTTTGCAGCAATGGGCTTGAGCTTGAGTTCTGTGTCCAGCAGGCTTCTTGGGTGCAGGACTTTACAGAGTCCCTCATGCTTCAGGTCCTGTGTCTGTGATGTGCTGTGGGTGTTTGTAGGGAAGGAGTCAGGCACAACACCTTCTCAATCAGAGGCTCTCTTTATTTCTTCCAACGACAAATCCCCAGGGTACGAGTGCATTGAGAACACTCACAGTGCAGTGCTGGGGACTGAGTTGGCCCTGCCCTCCCACTGGGGCTGGGACAACGGCTGAAGGCAACCTGCACGTGGTGGAAGTGGGTGCTGAGTGAGGAAAGCTGTGCTGGTTTTGGGGTCTTTGCATATATACATTGCCATCTCCTTTCTCCCGTTCTGATGCCAATAGCGGCCTTTTAAATGGAAATCAAGCCCACTCAATGACAGGCATCTCCTCCTGGGTTTTGGTACTTCCTTATTCCTGAAAGCACTTCAAGGTCAACTGTTTCCAGATTGAAATTTGGAAACTGACTGGCAGACGCCATCAGAATCCTGATTCTCACTCCCTCTCAGCGTTGACCTTCGTAGGGGCTGGACCACGTTAAGATGCTGGGGCTTCTTCCTGTTCTGCTGCCAGGTGCACGGAGCCCTCATTTGCTTATATATTAAAGGAAGAGGGAAAAAAGCTGCAGGACCATTTTAGAATTTCATATGTAATCAAAATCTGCCTAATTGCATTTTCTCCTGGAGAAAAGAGCATTTCAGGGCTATTGAGTTACCTCCTAGCCTCATTTAAAGGTGGGCTTCATTTCCATAAAGTGTCCCCAACGGGGCTTCCCTGCCTGAGAGACTGAGACACTGTCAGCATTCTTCTTCCAGGAGGGGTGTCTTAGCTTGCCAAGAACCTGCTGGCTTAAATGTCATCAGGTTTACTGAAAATGTCTTTCACCAGGTGCCCAGGGGTGGCTTCTAGAAGGTTAAAGGGTTGTAGGGCTGTTCCCCAAATAGAAGGCAAGATCCTGGAAAGCTAAGGTGGTTCCTTTCTCCCATGTAGACCTACAAGCCTCATGGAAAGAGAGGACTGTGGTTAAACCCAGCTACCAGGGGCAGGATCTGTGTGATGTCTCAGAAAGCAATGGAGTCTGTGCAAAGGGTGACTTTCTAAGGATGTTATTCACGTCCTGTCAGAAAGCCAGGTGGGGCAACCAAATTGTCACCCCAGAAGAAATGAAGGGAACCTGAGAGCAACACCTCCCAGAATAAGCAATGGGGCTGGCCCCTCCTACCACGCAGCCATAGGGCTGGCCCCTCCTACCACGCAGCCATAGGGCTGGCCCCTCCTACCACGCAGCCATAGGGATGGCCCCTCCTACCACGCAGCTGTACACACTTCTGTGCAGTAGCCAGAACAGAACCAAGAGAACCAGATCTACAGAAACCGAGAATGGAGGCCCCAGAGAAAGTTCGAACCTTGTCTAAGTGCAGACACTGAGAATTCTTCGAAATTCTTGTAAAAACCCTAATGCCAGGCAATTATGACTTTGATGCAGGAAGCATGGGGCACAGAAGAGTGCAGCACAGGGCTGGGTGCCCACATCAGAAGCTCACTGCATGTTCATATGCACTGGGGTGGGTGAGGAGGAACATGGCGTCATGCTCCAAGTCTACCTGGGTGGTCACCAGGTGGCTTTGCAGTGATTCAGGCTTGCCAGCTCCACCTCCTACTTGATATGGTTTGGCTTCGTCCCCACCCAAATCTCATCTTGAATTGGAACTCCCGCAATTCCCACGTGTCATGGGAGGAACCCAGAGAGAGGTGATTGAATTATGGGGTGGGTCTTTCCTGTGCTGTTCTCATGATAGCAAATGAGATCTGATGGTTTTAAAAACAGGAGTTTTCCTGCACAAACTCTCTTTTTGCCTGCTGCCATCCATGTAAGATGTGACTTGCTCCTCCTTGCCTTCTGCCATGATTGTGAGGCCTCCCCAGCCATGTGGAACTGTAAGTCCATTAAACCTCTTTCTTTTGTAAATTGCCCAGTCTCAGGTATGTCTTTATCAGCAGCGTGAAAATGGACTAATACACTACTCCAACCTGTGCTGTGAACAGTCACCTCACCCATCCCACCTGTCTCATCCTCATAGTCTTACCTGAAAATGGGGATTATAGCATGCCTGCTAGTTGTTGTGAGCACCAAACTAAATAATGCACATTACATGGGTCTATAGCTCTACCTTGCCTCTATCACATACTAACAAATGCTTCTCTTCCTTACTACTGTCATTGATGATGTTGCTATTTGTAACTAATTCTTTTGCAGGCTCTATAAGGGTCTGGTGAAATAACTCCCTTGGGTGTTATTAAGGAGAAGGATTTTAACCACAGGATCCCTGACCCTGTCCATCTGGACCGTGCAGGTGGCCCTGCCCCACAGGCTGGAGCTCAGGGCTGCTGATCCAGTTGGAACACCAGACAGCCCCAGCCTGTGAGATCTGGGGCATGTTCCTTGACCCCCTCAACTGCAGACATGCTTCGGCCCCTAGTGACTGAGGGTGGCCTCCATGGAGGCTCTTTCTTCACTCTGGGAAGGATGACACTTGGGGCTGTCCTTTCTCACAGCTTGCATGTAAAGCAGTGCAGAGCGCCCCTGCTGCATGTCATATTTGAGCCATAACCGGGAGGCTGGCTCTATTTTAAAAATAGTGTTCACAACTGTGGAATGTCAGGAAGGTCTATAATTTCTCTTGGGTCGAGAGAAGAATGTAGCTTGCAGCAGCATTTGAGGAAAATGCATCTCAAATGCAGAGCTGGAGATGATGTGGTTGTCCAGCCCCTTCTTCCCGCCGCCTGGGTCTCCTGGGTTGGAGAATTGGACACTGTAGGCCCTGGAGGAGTATCCTGGGTGGACTGTACCTGGGCTGAGCTGCCATCGACACTAGGAAGCTCTTTATTAGCACTTCTGAGTCAGGAGCACCAGACTGTTGCCGTGGCAGTGGCTGGGGTGTCAGGGGAGAGGACCTGTCTCATGAGCCGGTGGGGAGGCCTAAATGCACCCCAAATGCTTGGTACAGTCTTGTCACATGGGGGCGCTCAGCAGATGCCCACTCTTACAATGACGAGGAGATCTGGGTCCTTCCCCATTCTGTGTGCCCGGTTATCACTGTCCCTCTTATGGGTCACACCTGAGCTAATTAGGATACCACTGGGTAGGTCCCACACCTGGGCTCTCAGCTGCAGCTGGACCCCAGGAAGAGTGTGGCTGGTCACACAGGGCTGAGGGGAATGTGTGCTTTGGCCATCAGGGTCCAAGGATGCAGCCGTCCGAGGCAGGAAACCCTGAGCCAAAAGGCCACCGCTCCTGCCTGGATGGAACCCAGCCGGTGCCTGGGAGGAGGCGGGGCCAGCAGACAGGCTGGCTGTGAGCCTCCCTGGGCTTCTGCAGCCGGTGCCACTGGGGCTGCCATGTTGTCCCTCATTTCCTCTGCTGTAAGATGCGTAACTGACTCTCGAAGGAATGTGGGTGCACATCACCAGGGGCTGCACTTTTTAATAAAGGGGGCTCCAGCCGAACCCCCTGCAGCTTGGATCGGCTAAACCCTCCGGGAGTCTGTGAATTGGTCCCACAGAGCTGATACCCAGGGACCGAGGGATTTAAATCCTGGCTCCAGCTTTTTCTTCTCATACGGAAATAAAATTGTTGACCAGACGTCTACTCCGGCCATCAAGGCTTTCACACTGCTGAGTAGGAAGTTTGGTTTCTAACCCATATCAAAAATCCCGCAGGAAACAAACGAGGCTTGTGCCAAGGGAGCAGGGCTTCCCTGAGATGAAACTCAGCTGCTCTAAAACGTCCAAGTTGGAGGCGAGAAAACTGGGGCAAAGGTGACAGGGCTGGGGGTGAGGATGCCAGGCCTGGCCGCTGGATTCCCGGGCTTCCTGAGGTGCCCACCCACCCCAGGCATGAGGGCAGCACCAGAGCTGTGCCCTCGCAGGGCCAGCGGGGCACCTGCACGCTTGCCTTCCTCTTCTGATCTGCCTCCTGACCACCCAGGCCCCCTAAAAGCAGAGTAACTGGCCCTTTAGGATCACTCTGGAAAGTTAAAACCTAAGAAGAGAACAAAGAGAGGCAAAGAGCCAGACACTGGTCATGGCCAAGTGACCGCGTAGGTCTGAGAGCTCTGCATTCCACAGGGCTGACCTGCGGCTGGCCTTCCGGGCAGTGGCCTGGCTGCTCGGGGGATGGGCCCTGGTGGGGGTCTCTGGACACCATTCCAGGCTGTAACAGTGGTGTTGGTGCAGGCCCCCAACAAGGGTTGCTCTGGGAGAAAGACTCCTTGCCACTGTGCATGAGGACATCATATGTGGATGTGTGGATGCATATGATCATGCGTGTGTGTGACCGTGGAAGTGAGTGTGCATGTGTGTGTGAGAGCATGGGGGGTATGCATGCATATGTATGTGAGCGTGGGGGTGAGTGCATGTGTGTGTACGCATGGGGGTGTGTGTGTGCATGCATGTGTGTGTGAGCAAGAGGTGAGTGTATATGCATGTGTGTGAGTGGGGTGAGTGTACAAGTGTGCATGCATGTGTGTGAGTGTGGGGGTGAGCGTGCATGTGTGTGAGCGTGGGGGTGAGTGTGCATTCATGTGTGTGAGTGTGGGGGTGAGTGTGCATGCATGTGTGTGAAAGTGGGGGTGAGTGTACATGCATGTGTGTGGGGGTGAGTGCAGGCATTGTGAGTGGGGGTGAGTGTGCATGCATTGTGAGTGTGGGGGTAAGTGTGCATATGTGAGCATGGGGGTGAGCATGTATGTGAGTGTGGGGGTGAGTGTGCATGTGTGTGAGCATGGGGGTGAGTGTGCATGCGTGTGTGAGCATGGGGGTAAGTGCATGCATGTGTGGGGTGAGTGCATGCATGTGTGTGAGCATGGGGATGAGTGTGCATGTGTGAGCATGGGTGTGTGTGAGTGCAGGGGTGTGCATGCGTGTGTGTGAAGGTGAGTGTGCATGCATGTGTGGGGGTGAGTGTACATGTGTGTGAGCATGGAGGTGAGTGAGTGTGGGGGTGAGTGTGCATGCATGTGTGAATGTGGGGGTGAGTGTGCATGCATGTGTGAGCATGGGGGTAAGTGTGAATGTATGTGAGCATGGGGTGAGTGGGGGGTGAGTGTGTATGTGAGTGTGGGGGTGAGTGCATGTATGTGAGCATGTGGGTGAGTGTGCATGTGTGTGGGTGAGTGTGCATGCATGTTTGTGAGTGTGGAGGTGTTTTTGTGTGTGAGCGTGGGGGTGAGTGTGCATGCATGTGAGCATGGGGTGAATGTGCATGTGAGTGTGGGGGGTGAGTGTGCATGTGTGTGGGGTGAGTGTGCATGTGTGTGAGTGGGGTGAGTGTGCATGTGTGAGTGGGGTGAGTGTGCGAGTGTGTGAGTGGGGTGAGTGTGCGAGGGTGTGTGAGCATGAGGGTGAGTGTGCGAGTGTGTGTGAGCATGAGGGTGAGTGTGCATGCATGTGTGTGAGTGTGGGCATGCGTGTGTGGGGGGGTGAATGTGCATGCATGTGTGAGTGTGGGGGTGAGTGTGCATGTGTGTGTGGGGGGAGGGGTGGCTGCATGTGTGTGTGGGGGTTATGCCTGTGAGTATATATGTGTAGGTGAGCCTACATGTAAGTGTGAGTGTGCCTGTGTGTAAGGGTGTATGTGTGAGTGTGCCTGTGTGTAAGGATGTATAAGTGCTGTCCGCATATGTGTATTTATGTGTGAATGAGGGTGTGAGTGTGCCTGTGTGTATGTAGAGGTGTTTGTGGGTGTGAGCGTGTCTGTGTGTGTCTGTATGTGTGTGTGCCTGTGCTTATGTGTGTGTGTGTGTGTGAGTGGACCTATGCGTATGTATAAGTGTGTGTGAGTGAGGGTGAGTGTGCCTGTGTGTAGAGGTGTGTGTGTGTGCCTGTATGAGTGTAAGAGTGGGTGTGAGTGCCTGTGCGTATATATGAGTGTGTGTGAGTGGGCCTATGAGTATGTCTGTGAGGGTGTGCCTGTGTGTATACATGAGTGTGTGTGAGAGAGTGGGCCTGTGTGTATGTATAAGTGTGTGTAAGGGCGAGTATGCCTGTGTGTATGTAGAGGGGTGTGAGTGTGGCTGTGTGTATAAGTGTGTGAGTGTGCTTGTGTGTAAGTATGTATACATGTGCGTGAGGGTGAGTGTACCTGTGTGTAAGTGCATGTGTGTGCCTGTGCCTGTATGTGTGAGTGGGTGTGAGTGCCTGTGCCTGTGTGTATGTGTGTGTGTGAGTGGGTGTGAGTGCCTGTATGTATAGGTGTATGTATGTGTGTGTGCCTGTGTGTAAGTGTGTGTGTGTGAGTGTGGCTGTGCATATGTATAAGTGTGTGCGAGTAAAGGTGAGTGTGCCTGTGTGTAGAGGTGTGTGTGTGTGTGCCTGTGCCTATGTGTGAGTGGGTGTGTGTGCGCCTGTCCCTGTGTGTATGTATAGGTGTATGTATATGAGTGTGTGTGTGCGCGCCTGTGTGTATGTATGAGTGTGTGTGTGACTGGGTGTGAGTGCGTGTGAGCACTTCCCACAGCACGGGCCAGTCCTCTCCCACCACACCCTTTGTGGCCCCCCTGCTGACGTGCTTCCAGCCCAGCGCCCGCAGGCCCTCGGTGCTGCCTCTCCCTCCCCCTTTCTTATTTCCCTTGCCCTGGGCACGAGCACCGTTTCCCCCCTCTGGCTCCCACCACACTCAGGGCCACCAGCTGCTCTGCTCTTCCCCAGCCTCTCCTTCCTCTGCTGGGGTGTCCCGCCTGGCTGTGTGAAGCTGCTGAGATTCTCCCCGCTCGGTCACTGCCTTCTCATCCAGGAAGACTTCCTGACTGCTGAGTCATTTCCTCCTCAGAACCACAACACTTAGCACAGTTCCCCGGGGTTGGGTACACCTGGTGTTATCTGTTTTGTTCTGGGAAGGAGGGGGTGGCAACAGGACACCTGTGGAGTTAAATCCTGGCACTGCCATCTCCCCGCTGGGGGACCGTGGGCGGATTACTCTGAGGCCCTAAGCTTCGAATGGAGCCAGTAATTCTGCCCTCACAGGCTGCTGGGAGGATGAGCTGAGGGGATCCTATGGCACGAATGGGAAGGGCAGGCATTGCTGGCCCCTCTCCCTGGCCACAAGGGTGGTGCCCTGGTGCTAACTCGGTACCTCAGTGCCCAGCCCAGGGGCCGGCCCTCCGCGGGGCTGGTGCATGGGTGCAGAGCTGAACTGCCCTGTGCTGAGTTGAATTTACGTCAGGGGCTTTCTGTGGGTGTCGGGGACTCAGGGAGAGTGGGCAGTGCAGGGGCTGAACTGGGTTTGAATGTGGCTCCGCCTTGGACTAGACAGGGGCTTGGATGCCCGTCTCTGGGGATAATGACGCTGATCTCGCAGAGATCGAGGCAACACCCAAGCTGTGCTGGCCCCACTCCAGGTGGACACTAAACGTGGCAGCCACCCGCCCCGCGTTTCCTCCTGTCACCTCTCTCTTCTGCGACCCTCTGCTTCCTCTGCCCTTTTTCTCGTCTGGGCTGAGAGGCCCTGCGAGGGACCCCCTTGCTCCCCGGTGACAAGAAGAGTGGGAGGGGCAGACTGGAGGGGCGCTGTGCCCCGTGGTCTCACCGGGGGCCTCCGATGCCGCAGGGCAGGGCCCGCAGGCTGCCTTAAGCAAACAGCGGAGCTCTGGACTGAGTCAGCAGACAGGACTGTGCTGGGAGGAGCTCCAAGGAAACCCTCAGAGGATGGCATTGCAGGAACTCTGCCTAGGCTCCCAAAGCAAGGGAGAAAGCTTCCCAGCGGCCTGGCTCGGGCCAACTTACCACGCCTTGGCTGACAGTCCCGCCAAGACAGGGGCTATGCAGAGGCAGTTTCCCCAAATCAAAGTCTGCCAGCCACTCGCAGAAGAAAAGGGGCTGCCTGTGGGGCAGGGAAAGGTCACCCAGGACCCCCACCGCCCAGCGGAAGCCAGGAGCAGGGCCTGGCCTCTTTCTTGCCTGGTTCTGGTTTCCTTGGCTCTGGGACTGCCATGGGAGATGGTTCCAACCTGCTCCATAAAGACGACTTCGGCTTCACCAAGTGGCCATCTCATCGTCCCCTGAGTCCAGGGATGGAAGCTCCCGGGGCAGTGGTGCAGGGTAGCTCTGAAGATCTGGTTTCCTGAGAGGGAAAGCCTCGCCCTGTCTTGGTGGTCGTCATCACCTGTGCTGCCCATCCTGTACCAGCCTTTCTAAGAGCTCTCCCTCTGGCTAAGACACGATCACCCAGAGTCCCTGGCGGTGCCCTCATCTCCAAAGCTGCACAGATGGGGCATTTATCTATCTGCTCAGTAAGCCTAGCTGCCAGAGTCAGCCCGTTTCCATCAGGGTCTTCTGTGCTAGCTGGGGAGCCTCTGCCATTTTCCAGCCTCCCTGAGCCTCTGTCCCAGCGTGGGGTGGGGTTGATAATGACACCTTTTCACAGGCTCATTGTGAGGATAGAATGGGAAAATGCACCCATAACTGCAGTCTCCCTGGGCCCCCTTGAGCCCAGTGTCTATACACTGGCCCGAGGAGAACACAAGTTAGACCCCAGACAGGTGGAAGACAATGTGTGCAGGGGTCTCTTAATCCAACAGGACACAGTAGAGCTCCCCCAAATTCCCATCTGAGCATTTCTCTTCATGTGCGAGTCCCCTCTCTGTGACAGTCTCCTAGCTGCTGCCTGTCCCCAGCATGAGGCTAGCCTCCTCTCTCCTACCTTCCCTCCCGCTGCCTGCCAGTGAAGGAAAGCCTCCTTGCCCTCTCTTGGTCTCTCTCATTTGCATCTCTTCCAGAAATTTGATTTCTGAGCTGCATGAACAAAGGGTTCGCTTTCCTAGTTGGACGATGACAGGTGCTTGGAGGCACTCGTGACCTTGTTGTATTTCTCCACTGTCACATGTGGAGTTCTACATGGCACATGGCCCCTTTGGGCGGTTGACTTGAGACTGGTTCGTGTGGCTGCTGTTGCTGCTGCTGTCATTGTGGTTCCCAGGTGAGTGGCCCCTTCCACGCCTGGGGACAGGGATCCTCTAGACGCACCGGGGCTACTGATGTGTCTGGGGGCTGCTCAGAGGTGCTGGCTTTCAAGGCCCAGCTGCCTCGGCTTGGGGGCTTCCCTCTGGGTTGGCAGTTTCTGCACCTAGCCCGTAGGTTGATTCTGGACCTGGGTCTTTCTTGTGCCCAAATAGCCCAGCCGGAAGTCAGGGCTCAGCATGCTTTTTGCATTATAGGTTTTCATTCAATTTCATTATGGAGAGCATGTTGATGTCAAGCGGGACTGCGAGCTGGTCACGCCTCTGCCCGGAGCCTTCCCTGGCTCCCCAGCCCTGTCAGGACAAAGGCCTGGCTCTTTAGGCTCTTTAGGCACCTTGGTGGGCTGGGCTCTGCTTGCCTCTCAGCTGTCCCTGAACTTAACCTCAGGTCCTTTGCACGTGCTGTTCTCGCTGTCTGCAGCAATCTTACAAACCTGCCCCTTCTCTCAACCTGGGCTCATTCTGATTCACCTCTCAAAATTCAGATGCCTCATTCTAAGCCTCATGTGGCACTGCTCAAGAATGGGAAGACCCTCCTGGCCTCACAGGCCCCCATCCCACCCCATCAGAACACTTCTTGGTCCAGCTCAGAGTCACCTGCCTTCTTCTCTGGAGTACTCACCCCCTCCCAGCCCTACTCTGAGCTGTGTGAGGACAGGGGCTGCCCCTGCCTCGCTGCTATCCTGTCCTCAGTACCTACTGTGGGACTGAGACTCACAAAAGGTCAAACAAATGAATGAATAAACATTCTTTGTTTTTGGTTCAAATTGCATTCTTTTAGCAAAGAAAATCTTAGTTTTGGTTTAAGAGGATTTACTACAGAGTCATCTTTTAAATGATGTTACTTCCGGCTTTGGATAAAATCTTAAGAAATAGTAAACACTTTGTTTTTTATTCTCTCTTTGACATAAAATATGGTTTGTTAAGTTTCTGGAATCCTGGCTGGGTCTGGTCTCTGTAAAAAGTAAAACTTCTCAGTCAGATCAATTATTTGTTCATGGAAAAAGGAAAAAAATTCACATCCAGCAGTTTGGTTAAATGAAATCTCCCCTCCCCACCCCCTACTCCCTGAGGTTGAGGTTCCTGCAGGGCCCCTGTCAGCCAGGCCTGGGAGCAGGTGGTGGGGAGGCTGGTGCTGGTGCATTTTCTGCTTCCACTTTCGGATGATTTAATGCTCTGGGGGAAATGCTTTGAAAAGAACCCTCCTCTTGCCAGCCCTTCAGCAGGTTGGTTTAGCTTCGTAATTAGCAGCCACAATAGGAGCTAGGATAATTATCCCCCAAAGTAAAGAGAAAAACAGATGTTTTTAAAGCTGCACAGTAGAGATTTTGCCTTTCGATTGTAATAGTTTAGCACGTGAAATGAATTAGATGCCGGCTTTTCCTGGGACATCGTTTCCAAGGTAGGTTAAGGAAAACCCTGCTGTTTTCAAAAAGAACAGTCTTGGATTGGGGACGTGGGGTGGAGGCAAACACATGTGACAATTTTCAAAACCTAGCAAGAAGCAAGGGAGGCTGGATTGAATAAATTAATGAGTTTTCCGCTCCTGGGATTTGAGTTAAAGCTTTCTCATAATTGAAAATTGTGGCATGCTCCTCTGTGCTGGAACACAAAGCTACAGGTGTGTGCTTACAGCCTGGCACGGCTGTCGCATCTCACGTGGAGATTAAGAGTGGAATGCGTTGGGACTGCAGAATGGATGCCCCCGTGTCGGCTCGGAGAGGGCTCCAGGGCTGCTTTCTTTGGCTTCTCGAGCATTTCTGTGCTGCCTCCCCCATGTATTCACCACCATTCCTCCATAACTACGGGAAGGTATCTATCAGAAAGACCCTCAGTGTTACAGGAAAAGGGTCCCGATCCAGACTCCAAGAGAGGATTCTTGGATCTCACGGAAGAAAGAATTCAGGGTGAGTCAATAGTAAAGTGAAAGCAAGTTGAATGAGAAAGTAGAGGAATGAAAGAATGGCTACTCCATAGACAGAGCAGCCCTGAGGGCTGCTCGTTGCCTATTTTTATAGTTATGTCTTGGTGATATGCTAAACAAGGGGTGGATTATTCATGCCTCCCCTTTTAGACCATATAGGGTAACTTCCTGACGTTGCCATGGCATTTGTAAACTGTCATGGTGCTGGTGGGAGTGTAGCAGTGAAGATGACCAGAGGTCACTCTCGTGGCCATCTTGGTTTTAGTGGGCTTTAGCCGGCTTCTTTACTGCAGTCTGTTTCATCAGCAAGGTCTTTATTGCCTGATCTTGTGCCGACCTCCTCTCATCCTGTGACTTAGAATGCCTTAACAGTCTGGGAATGTGGCCCAGTAGGTCTCAGCCTCATTTTACCCAGCTCTTATTCAAGATGGAGTTGCTCTGGTTCACATGCCTCTGACATCAGCACAGTCTTGTTCCTGGAAGTGAATAAAAGGATCAGATCACTGGGGAGATAAAACAGCCTTAACCAAATGGGGCCCCTAGTTATGATGGGTCAACTCTCACTCTGCACTGGGCTCTTCCTGAGGCCTTCACCCTGGGCTACTTTGGAAGGCCCTCAAGAAATTTCATTTCCTTGAGGACGTGGGTTTGAATTTCAGATTTGCTGTGGATCCTCTTAATTTTTGTGGGTAGACCCTGTCTTCTTTCAAGGACTCAGTTTGTTCAACTGTAAAATGGATGTTGGTTTTGATCAGTGGTTTTCAAATAGTGCCCTGCAGAATTCTAGTTCTGAGAGACATTAAGAGATGTTACAAAAAAAAAAAAAAAAAAAAAAAAAGAACCTAGTGAATAACATCCTTCACTTGGGGCAGGCTGATTTTGCCCCTCTGGGGCTACTTGGCAATGGCTGGAAACATTTTTTGGTTGTCATAAGGTGGGAGGATGCTATGGCATCTAGGAGGTGGAGGCCAGGGAGGCTGCTAACATCCCATAATGCCCAGGATGGCTCCATAGCAAAGAAGCATCCAGTCCCAAATGTCTATAGCGTTGAGGTTGAGAAACACAGCCCTAAAATTCTAGGTCTCATTTGAATATTAAAGGCTATGGGCAGGGCTACAGTAAAGAGCTCCACTTAACTTTTAATCCAGAATTCCTTACATTCATTTGCAGGCAGATTCCCTTTTCCCCCACCAGTCTGGGATTAATGTTCCTCAGAGCATGCTCAGGAAACCCTGAACTAGATGTTATCTACCATTTGTTCCAGCTCTGACCATCTTGGACACTATAGTCAGGGAACAGAAACCCCAAGAATGACTCTGGGACTTCTCATCACCCAGCTCTGGTGCAGGGCGTCTTGCAGGGGAAGTGTCCAGGAAATTCCGGGAAAGTTGAATTGAAGCTGGTCTTAGGGCAGGTTCCCTGATGCAGAGCCTGAAACAGAGACTTATTCAAGTGGTTTATTGGAAAGGAGCTCTCAGGGAAGAGTGATGGGCAGGAAAGGAGCTAAGCAAAGGGGTGGCCTCTGCTGGAGACCTGTTTCTGCCTGAACCCCAGGAGGTGGTGGGGTGGGCTGGAGAGCTCCAGAGCTTGGGGAGCTTGGGGTGGGGGTGGTGGGGTATGAGCTGATTACAGTGTTGAAGTCACCTTGAGTGGGAGGCCCATCTATCCTTCCTTCCATGGGTCCTTCCTGCACTGGCCTTGGCCTATGAGTGGGCATAGCCTCCCAGGTAAAGCTTCACCTCTCTGGAGGTGGGGAAGGCTGTGAGCTGTTAGCAGGCCAGCCTCACAGCTTCCAGGTGCTGCCTGCAAAAGCAGGTAGAGAGAGGAGACCTGGGAGAGGCACCAGCAGCCCCTACTACAAGGTAGCACAGCATGCAAGTGCTTAGAACTCTCAAAGAGCAGGGAGCCCCACTGGCTGGAGGAAAAGGGTGGTCTTTGCTTACCCGAACTTCCCTGGACTTTTAAAACTTCTCTCCCCCAGCTTTCTGGGATGCTATTGCTGCTGAAAATCATGGAGCCCCCAAGAGTCAGAGGGCTGCTAGGGAAGAAAGTAGAGGGGGAAACCAGCCACTAGCAATGTCAGCCACTTGGTGAACACCTGCATAGACCAGGCCCTTAGCCAGGGGCTATTTCAGAGGAGGTGCCTGGGTTCTGAGTGGTCCACGATCACACAGCTGATAGGTGTCAGAGAATCAAGACTTTTGGCCTCTCTTCACACTATTCTCCACATGGGCCATAAAACCTATTCAGAATGGCGGGGTGGGGTTGACAATGAAGTAAACAAGGGTAAAATATGCAAGTACATGATGGAGTTATTTAATTAGCCTCATATTTGGAAACATGTGGCTTCAAATTGGATGCTAGTGAAACATTCTGGCCCACATCCCCTGCTCTTCTTCCCAGCCCTGAACCTCATGTTCACCATTTCATGGGAGTTAGCCACTGACACTTCCCCAGCTGTTCACAGCCATTGGAAGGTGGAGGCACTTTCTGGACAGACTTGAGAGGCAGCCTCTCTTTGTGGGAGGACACTGGACTTGGAGTCAAAGATTCCACTGCCATGGAATGACTAACAGTGGCGTTGTATCGCTTCATATGGGTTTACTGTAATTTTCCTGAGTAGTAATTTATTAGTGGACATTTAGGGTATTTTTTCCAGATTTCCCAATATTATAGGTAACAACACAATAAATATCTTTGTATATTCATCTCCACCTACATCTTGACCAATTCCCTCAGGATAAAGTCTAAAAATAGTTACAGGGTCAAATTTACCCACATCTTAAAGGCCTTTCAGAAAGACTGTGCCAATTTCAACCCCAGCATTAATCTAGGGAGATCTCATTTCTTCGCTTCCTCACTGGGCTAGGTCTTATCTTTGTTGATCTATTAGGAGAAAAATGACATCCTACTGTTTTAATTTGCCTTTTTTTTTTTTTTAATGGTGTTAACAAAATTTCAACAAATTTTGTTTAAAGATCAAATTGGCTTTTATTTGTGGTTCATGAACGGGGAAGCATCCCATTCTTGTAATAGGAAGGAGCTCCTATGGGTGGAACAGAGGAGGCAGACTTTACAGGCAGAAAAGGGCTAAAGAAACAGAAACAAAGAACAGTTTGATCACTTTGTGGTGACTTTCCTTATAGGGTTAAAGCAGACAGGACTTCCCTGATGCTGGCTAAAACTGGACTGTTTGGGAATTTGGCTATTGTCTCTCTCCCAATTTCTCAGCGTGTCAGATAACTTCAGTTGGGTGACATGTAACTTCATCTTGGTGAGGCCTTGGGCCTTGTGTGGGAGCTCTGTCCGAATCCATGGGCTCCCACATGCTCTATGTAGCAATTGTGAGGCTGATATTTTTTCCCTGTGCGGATGACCATTCGCATCTCTTCACTGGAGGTCGCCCACTCATACGCTTGGCCTGCTTTCCTGCTTGTCATCTTCTAAGCACACTTTTCTATTAAGACTCTCAACCCTTGGCGGTGAGTGGTCTACTGACTTTTTCCAGTTCATAGTTTGCCTTGTCTTCATTTTGCTGGAATCTAGTTTTGAAACCTCAACCATCCAGGTAGAGATGGTTCCCCAGGAAGTGGCTATTGGCAGAAACGCTGGTTTAAGGAAATTTCTCCTGCCCCACCCCACTCCCACGTTTAAAACTAAAAGCTCAGCTAGAACTGGAGAGTTCAGTGGGGAAGAAGTTCAAGGGGTCAAAGCATATCCTGTTCCTCATTTCACAAATCATGCTGCTAATTGCCCAATTTAGAGAGATTTGGTGGCAACACTTGGCAGCAGGATGTGAATTGCCTCACACACAGGGACAGCTGAGGATGTTTTCATTTTGTTGGGTAGTGTGCACAGGAAGTCCCACGGGGGCTTCTGGGGCCCAGAACACTGGTCCTGGAGTCAGCAGACCTGGGTGTGAGTTCCGGCTGCACTGCTGATGGAGCTCTGTGTGACCGAGTTGTCATTTAACCCCTCTGAGCTTTCTGCGTCTGTAACATAGGCCCTGTAGCATTGTCGAGACCACCCAAAGGCGGGGAGATGTGGCATGGTCCTGCCTGCATGTGGTGATCCCAGGCCTTTGAAAGGACTCCCTGGCACCACCCTTCCCCTGATTTCTGAAGGGCGGGGTGATGTATCTTTATTTCTGCCCTCACTCCATGTGCCGGGATTCCATTTCCTCTCTCCATCTGTAAAACAGAGTTGTTTCTCACAGTGCTGAGGGGAATGTGGCCACCACGTCTCTGGACTGTTTGGTTTCTCTCTGAATAGACCTCTGGGTCTTGTACTTCTCAGGACTCCCCGCTGGCTGCCTCCAGGTCCCCACTTTGCAATCACTCTTCCTGCAGGAAATAGAAACGCAACAGGGGCCTTTGTCACTAAATACACACAAATCTTGATACGGTAATGGCTCACAGCTGCCGAGCACTTCCCGGGTGCCAGGCCCTCACTCAGGGCTGCTGAGGGGTCTCCTCACACGGGCCGTCCATAGAGTGGCCCCATCAGTCTTCCCTCTGAGGGACATTGGGAGAGGACTCAGAGACCAACAGGCAACCAGATGTGCACACACAACACACAGCCAGTCACATTCATACAGACTCATATTCTCATACATCCACATCCACACACACAGACTCTTGCATAAAGACACACAAACATACACACCACATAGACATACAGACACACTCTTACACATTCTCTCACACATACTCACACAGACACATAGACACACACACGTGCTCAAACACATTCATACAAACACAGACACATCCACACAGACATACCCACTCTCATATATTTATAAAAACTCACACACATACATACACACACTTAATACACAGACTCACACATTCTCACATTCACACATGCAGTCTTACATAGTCACCAAGACACACACACAAACTCCCATATATGGGCACATTCAAAGACACACAGACATAGATACACACAGGCACACACACACACAATGGTACCAGAGCCTGTCTGTTCTGTGCACATGATCTGGTTTCTGGCCACCACATATGAAGAAGGACACATAGACAGAGGTTCACTCTGAGGAGGGTGGTCAGGGTGGCCCCCCGTGCCTCTGAGGATCCATGAAGATGCTGGGATGTCCCGTGAGGAGAAGAGATGACTCAGAGGGCCACCAAACGCTCTTGCAATGCTCCGTGAACTTTCCTGTGGAAAATCGAATGTTCTCTGAGGCCCAGAGACGTGACAAATGAGGACTGGAGGTTGGGGGAAACAGCAATAACTATTTGTTAGTGAAATGTGTGTGATGCAACTGCTATGATTTGAATATTTGTCCCCTCCAAACTCATGTTGAATCTTAATCTTCAATGTGGCAATATTGAGAGATGGGCCCTTTAAGAGGCGAATGGGTCATGAGGGCTCTGCCTTCATGAATGGATTCATCTATCCATGGATTATGGGTGAATGGATTAATGGGTTACTGTGGGAGTGGAACTGGTGGCTTTTTAAGAAGAGGAGGACAGACCTGAGCTGGCGTGCTCAGCCCATGTGAGGCCCTGGGCTGCCTCAGGACCCTGCAGAGAGTCCCCACTAGCCAGAAGAACTTCACCAGATGCAGCCCCTCAATCTTGGACTTCTCAGCTTCCAAAACTGTAAGAAATAAATTCCTTTTCTTTATAAATCCCCCAGTTTCAGGTATTCTGTTGTAAGCAACATCTCTGAACCAGGAGTTAGGATAAAGCCGTGAAGAGGGCATGGTGCCATCTTCCTCAGTTCCTCAAGTTCACGCTCTCCTAGAGAGGGACCTCTAAAAGGATGACTCAGTTATGGTCTCTGTGACACTGACAGGGGATGTGTGGGGACAGAGCTGAGGGCGGTGGCCTGAGCCCCACTGTGGGAGTGGGCTCCCTGTTACTGGCTGTATCCAAGCAGGATGGGCAGCTGGTAGACAGGGATGCTGGGGCAGGGCCTCGAGACCTGGGTGGAGGCTTGGATGAGACACACATCCCTGACTCACAAGTTGCTGCTGTTTTAGGTTTCTCACTGGGTGAGTCTATGGAAAGGAGATCAGAAAGAGGAAGTAACGACTCCTTCATCTCCCTATCCCTCGACCCCGGCCTCTGGTGGCCTTACCTGAGCATATCTCTAGTGTCAGTGGCTGGGAATAAAGACTGGCCGAGCAAGAAGTTCAGGTGATCAGTGCCTTGGTAAAACACAATAACAACAACAAAAACCTGCCAACTTCATGTTTCAGCAGATAATCAGTTGAGTTGGGGGATGGCCAAGGGGCAGAGGTTGAAGGAGGAAGACCCCCAGCTCTGCAACTGATTTGCTGTGCCTTTAGGCAAGGCACCTGCCCTCTTGGGCCTCTGCTATGATTTGAGGAGTTGCACTAGTTGGTTTTATGGCCACCCCAGCTCTGAAGGGCTGCACGTAACCCTGTACTGACTGAGCCCACAAAGGGTGGGTGGGCGGCACACCCTGCAATGGCTGCCAGGCCAAGATCAAAGGGCCAGGCAGGAATGTTTCTGGAACGATGCTATTTATGCCTTTCTGGGTTTCTGAACAAAACCCCAGAAGCAGAAACCACTTACTTCTTAGCCCCCAGAGGTTTCTTTCCGAGGGTAAGCACACTTTCCAATGTGCTAACCAAAGACAGCTGCATCAGAACCGAGACTTTTCTTTAAACTGTCATCTGTAAACCTCCACACTGGACACAGCATTTGCCTACTGTAAAGCTTGGACGATAGCTTTAAATAGATAATCCTCAGGCTTTTGCATTTCAGCTGAGGCAAAATCCACAGCCAAAAGTAAATGGGAAAATTAAAAGCTTTCAGGAGCTTACATTTTTAAAATTGCAAAGTGCACCCAGTGAGTTATATGAAATGACTCAGTGTTACTAACTGGTCCCCAACCTCCCAACCCTTGCATGAAATTGATGCTGGTCATGCGCCCACCAAGTAGGCATGAACTTTACATGATTTCTCTAAAGGTCATAAGACAGTTTGGTGTCCACTCCTTCAACCAGTCCTCACCCCAGGGGACCCAAGCATGGCCAGCTTTATGGGTGGGCACAGGGCTCTGGGCTTAGAAAGGCCTCCTGCTTGATTTAAAGTTCTGCTAGGATTGTCTCAAAATTCTAAATAATTTTTGAACAAGGGGCTCTGTGATAATATGACACATATTGAACTTTAAAGCAAAAAAAAAAAAACTCAAAATATGTAAGATGAAAACAGAAATAGAAAGAGAACTTGAGGAATCCACATTCATAGATTAACACAGCTCTATTGATCAAGCAGACAATAAAAGTGGTACAAATAATGAATTAAGTTAGATTTTATGAAAGAATACAGAAATAACCATGCAGCCAATATATAGGTATATAATTTTTAAGAATATACAGATGTTTATAAAAATGTATCATGCAGTAAATCTTGACTAAAGTCTCAACAAATACCAACAAATTAACATTATCTTAACGCTCTCTGTGAGCACAAGCGATTACATTAAAAATCAACAGGAAAAAGATAAAAAGCATGTTTGGAAGTTGCTATTGTCTGAATGTTCATGTCCCCTCAAAACTTGTATTTTGAAATCCTAACCCTCAAGGTGATAGGATTAGGAGGTGGGGCTTTGGGGGGGTGATTAGGTCAAGAGGGTGAAGCCCTCATGAATGGGACCAGTGCCCATATGAGGGGCTTGACAGAGACCTCTTACATCTTCTAACATGTGAGGGCACAGCAAAAAGGTGCCATCTATAACTCAGAAATCAGGCTCTCAGACATTGTCTCTGCCAGCACCTTGATCTTGGACTTTCCAGCCTCCGGAACAGTGAGAAATAAATTTCTGTTGTTTATAAGCCAGCCAGCATATGGGATTTTGTTACAGCAACCCAAATGGACTGACACAGAAGTTTTAAAATGTTGCCCAATAACTCATGCGTGAAAGAGGTAATCAGGGGAATTATAAAATATTTAGAACTAAAGAATAAAATAACATGGCCAGAAACAGTGGCTCATGCCTGTAATCCCAGCACTTTGGGAGGCCGAGGTGGGCGGATCACCTGAGGTCAAGAGTTTGAGACCGGCCTGGCCAACATGGTGAAACCTCGTCTCTACTAAAAATAGAAAAAATTAGCTGGGTGTTGGGGCAGGCACCTGTAATCCCAGCTACTCTGGAAGCTGAGGCAGGAGAATCACTTCAACCCAGGAGGCAGAGGTTGCAGTTAGCTGAGGTCTAGCCTGGGCAATAAGAGCGAAACTCTGTCCAAAAAAAAAAAAAAAAATAAAAGAACAGTCTAGTCAACTTTGGGATATAGCTAAAGCAGCACCCAGAGGAAAATGTGTAGCCTTAGTTATAAATAAGTTAAGGGTTCAACTGAAGTCCCTAGAAACAACCTTGAAGTAAAACTAAAAGAAAAAGACAGGCAAGAAAATGATAAATACAAGAGCAGAAATTAACAAAATAGATAATCAATTGTTATACTTGAGATACTTGAGAAATAGATAAACATGGTTTTGGACTTTCTTGTTTTCTTGGCATAAATAATTTCTTTAATAATCACACCACAAGCATGGTTATTTGTTTAATAGCTGTATTCCCTGTAAGACCATATTCTTTGCTTGTTTTGTTCACCATTTTATCTCCACAGCCTGAACCTTGATAGACAGATGTTCATTAAACATTTGGAAATGAAATGAGTGAAAGGAATCTTAGCCCTGCCATTTACTCTGCACCATTGAGCAAGTTATTTACTGAATCGGAGCCTCTCTTTCCTCATCCGTCAAACAGAGAGAAGGAAGCCTCCATCACGGGCTGCTGTGGGAACACGTTAAGCTTTTGTGCAATTCCCAGGGTAAATAGTCAATCAATGGAGAAAGGTGTAATTATGAGCCATGGAATTGGCTCTGACACTGGAGAATGCCCTGCCTGCCCAGCAGCTCCACCTCCATCAGGTCCCTGCAGTTTTCTGAAGGCACAAGAGGCAAGCTTGAGAGGAGCTGGAAAATATGGGAAAAGAGAATCACAAGGAGGCTCAACGAGGTGGCCAGTGCCGGAGGTGAGTCCGAACTGTAGAGGGGAGCCAGTGCATCCCACCCTGCCTCGGCCGCCCTGCGTGCCTTTTGCTGGAATTCTTACCCCCTAGCACTCGCATGGGTCCCTCCTTTTATCAGACGTGTCTTGATTCGGTCATTACCTTATGTTCTGGCCGTTTGCCTGTTAGCCCTAAGATCTAGCCTCCACTTTCCCCTGACCCTACTGTATATCCCTGGGTGGCTTCTGCAAAAAGTTTGCATTTCCCTGGGGAAGATGCATTTTCCAGGCATGTTTGACCTTTGGTTTCTGGTTATGTTCAGCTGATGGGAGATGTTCATGGCAGGTTGGAAGGCAGGGAGAAGGGAGAAGCCAGGATGTTTCTTCCCCCAAACCCCTCTCTGCTTTAGGAACTATCCCAGGCAGCTGCCCCATCTCCTCTGGGTTCCACATGCTACTGGGCCACTCTTCCTTGTATGTTGCCCTCTCTTGGGTTCTGGAAGCCCTTCCCTTTGTCTCTAGCTAGGGCTGGTAGCAGCTGCTGTTGTTACTAATCTCTGGATAGCCTCACCGTGTCCTTTGCCCTTTCTTCTCTTCCAGCACCTTTGGACCTAGTTCTCTATATTAAAATTCTTTTCTTAAACCGCCTGGTTGGGATCTGCTTTCTTGATTAGAGACTGAAGTTTCTTCTCAGAGAAACCTTCCCTCACCATCCTGGGAAAAGTAGCTCCAGGCTCTTTCCATCGTCTTATACCACTGGTACCCTTCTCAGCACTAACCAGTACCTGAAATGGTGAGTTCATGAATTGCTTCCTTGTTTATTGTCTTTCTCTTCCAGCGAGAATGCAGACTCCTCAATGGCGGACATGTGGTCACCCTTATATCCCCAGCACCCAGCAGAGGGCTTGGTGCATAGCAGGTGCTCAGTGAATGTTTATGTTCTGTCATTGGATGCCACTAATCTAATGCGTGACCTTAGGTTACAGGCACTTTCTGTCCCAAGTTCTCATATTCTCACCCGCCAGTAAGAGTTGGCCTTAATGTTAAATATCTGAGATTCCGTGACTTTGCTTTGCAATTACTATTATAACTCAGCCAATTTGGAAACAACTCAAAATTTCAAATTTCCTTGTCCAGAGTTGTCAGCCTGGCTAACAAATGTCAGAAATCACTAACTCCTTAGAGTGCTTTGTTCTACTGGAAGGCCATTTGTCCTGGAAAGCCATTGCTCTATATTAAGTGCTCAAGTGTGTGTACTCATTAGGAAGAAATGGAACAGAGAAGCCATCATTCAGTTTAAGCAATGACCTGACACCATGGGCAGCTTGCACAAGCCATTCCAAATACCAGTAAATACGTAATTAAGGCATTGGAGGCCAGCAAAACTCAGCCAAGTTCATTCTAAGCTGTCTCTAGCAATGCGTGGGAAAGGCTGGAGGCTTTGTGTTTTGAACTCCAAGGCAGCCACATGCTGAGCAGTCATTTTTGTGTGGACACACCACAGCACTAGGATTCTGTTGAAACAGGCATTGGGTACTAAGTATCTGGGCAGCTTCTCTCACCCCATTGCCACTGCACTCCTTGGGGCCCCCTCACTTTTTGGTCCAGACCTTTCTCCTGTGTCTCACTGGCTTTTCTGCTTCCAGAACACCCTCTCCTCTGCCCCATTCCCCTCAATCTCTCCTCCACAGTGGACTTTCTCAAATGCTTGGAGGACTGAATCACCCACCCACTTAATACCCTTAATAAGTTCCACTGGCTTCAGGACAATTTCCTGGCTCCTCAGCACTGCACGCCAGGTTACTTAGGGTCTATTCTCCAATAACCTCTGATGCCTAACTTTAGCCACCCTCTCTTGGTGTGTGCTTTATTTAATTTGATTTTATATATATATATATATTTTACACAGGGTCTCACTTTTGTCTCCCAGGCTGGAGTGCCGTGGTGTGATCACGGCTCACTGTAGCCTTGAGTTCCAGGACTCAAGTGATCCTCCCACCTCAGCCTCCCGAATAGCTGGTACTACAGGCACCTGGCTAATTAAAACAAAAATTATCTGTAGAGATGAAGTCTGACTATATTGCCCAGGTGGGTCTCAAACTCCTGGGCTCAAGTGATTCTCCTGCCTCGGTTTCCCAAAGTGTTGAGATTACAGGTGTGAGCCACTGCACCCGGCCTCGATGTGTGCTTTAAACACCATGTTTCTTGTGGTCTTCCCCTTCTACCTCCTGGTTTACCCCCCAGTATCTTTGCTTATGCTTCTGTTCCCTCCTAGAAGACTCCTTTCTTCCTCCTTCATCTGATGCTAACACATTCCTTTTTTTCCTCAATTTTTCAATAAAGTATGTGGTATCCAAGGGATATAAAGAATACACTACCAAGCTTAAGAAACAAAGTGTATCAACATGGTTAAAGCTCTTTGTGTATTCCTTCCTAATCCTTTCCTTACTGCTCCCAGGTAACCATCATTCTGAATCTTGTGTTTTACCTTTTTATAATGATCTTTGTACGTGAATGTATGCGTGCATCTCTAAGCAGTATGCACTGTTGCTTAAAATGCTTTCACATGTTATGTGAATGATATCATACTCTCTATATTCTCCTATAACTTGCCATTTTTGCCCTCTATCATGTTTTTGAGGTGCTCTGTGTTAATGCATAGAGCTCCAGTTCACACCCATTTTCAGTAAAGTACAGTATTTAAATGTGTGTGTGTGTTTCTGTGAGTGTGTGTGTTTATTCTCTCATACGACATTTGTTTTTGCTATTATTAACCTACTGCTGTGCACACTGCTAACCACATCTCCTTTGCACATGGACAAGAGCTCCTCGAGGGTATCATGCAGAAATGGAAGTGCAACTCATAGGCCCAGCATATCTTCAGTTTTACCGTATGTTGCCAAATAATTTGTTAAAATAGAGCAGTTTATATGCTGGTCAGTGGTATATAAAACATTTCTCTTCAGTCTACATGGTTGCCTAACCTTTTCTATTGACAGGTTTACAAATTCTGACAGTAAATGGATGTAAAATGGAATCCCATTGTAGTTTTGACTTGATATTTTCCCGATTATAGGCAGACTGTTGTATTTCTTCTTCTGTGAAATGCCTGTGTATAACTTTTGTCTCTATTTCTGTTTTGCCTCTAATAATTTTTTAGTGATTTGAAATATATTTTGGATAATCTTTTTAAAAGAGATGCAGGGTCATGGTGGTCTTGCTGTGTTGCCCAGTCTGGCCTCAAACTCCTGGACTCAAGGGATTCTCCCACTTTAGCCTTCCTAGGAGCTGGGACTACAAGCATGCACCCCTATGGCTGGCAATTTTTTTTTGTTGTTGGTGATATATTGCAAGTATTTTTTCCCTGTTTGTGGTTTGCCTTTTTTTGTTTGACAAAACATTTTTGTATTATTTGTATCTGATTAGCAAAATTTTTTTTATTTACTTAAATTGTTCTATTTTTTTCTTTTATGATTTATGCTTTTTGTCTTTTTTCTCCCATATAATCTGAGGTAGGGATCCAGTTTATTTGTTATGTGGATAGCCAATTTTCCCAGCACCATTTATCTAATAGTCAACCCTTCCCCCTTCCAAATGAGTCAACTTTTTTGGTTGAATAAAAGCAATGATCTCAGATATTCTTGCCTATTTTATAATTTTAAAAGGAATGTTTTTCAGTGCTTTACCATCAAATATGATGTTTATGTAGCTATTTTAAATTTATTCTGTTGGATTAAGTAAAGTACCATATTTTTCTAAATAGCCAGGAACTTTTATCATGAATGAGGGTTAAATTTTATCTAATGTCATTTTCTGTCATTAATAAGATGCCAATATTTGCCTCTAATCTCTTAATATAGTGAAATTACCAATAACTTACTAATAATAAACCATCTTTATTTCTCAAATAACCCAATTTGATGATGATGTATTATTATTTTATAGGCTTTGGTAGATTTGGGTTGTTAATGTCCTGTTAGTACTCTTGCATACATACTTCTGAGAGATGTTAGCCAGAGATTTTCCTTTCCCAAATGCTTTTACCTGGTTGAATTACCAAGGTTACACTAGCTTCACAAAATGGTCTCACCCTTTCTAGTCTCTGAAAGAGTTTACATAAGTTGGAATGAAAAGTTTGGTAGACCTCTCCAGTAAAACCATCTGGGCCTTGCAGTTTTTGGTGGAAACTAATTTAATTTGTTTAGTGGTCATAGAACTGTTCAGGTTTTCTATTTCCTCCTGAGTCAGCTTTGGTCACTGTGTTCATTAGGACTTAAGAATAAGCTTGGCCGGGCGCAATGGCTCAAGCCTGTAATCCCAACACTTTGGGAAGCCAAGGCGGGCGGATCATGAGGTCAGGAGTTTGAGAGCAGCCTGGCCAACATGGTGAAACCCTGTCTCTACTAAAAATACAAAAATTAGCCAGGCATGGTGGTGCAAGCCTGTAATCCCAGCTACTGGGAGGCTGAGGCAGGAGAATTGCTTGAACCTGGGAGGCAGAATTTGCAGTGAGCTGAGATCATGCCACTGCACTCTAGCCTGGGTGACAGAGCAATACTCCATCTTGGAAAAAAAAAAAAAAGAATAAAGAATAAGCTCAGGTGCAGTATCCTGCAGGAAGTCTTCTGTGACATCCCCTGCCCATAATAGACTAAATTATCTTCCTACTAACTTCTACATTGTATTGTCATTCATTCATTCATACAATATTTATTGAGCATCTACTATATGTACTGTTCTAGGTGCTGGGGAAAACCAGTGAACAAAATAGAAAAATTCCCTGTTCTCACAGAATGTACATCCTAGTGAGTGGAAGGGCCGTCAGTAGACAATATACATGAATGACTTGTATGACAACTACTGGAGGAAAAAGCACAGCAAAGAAGGGGTCCAAGGAGTGTCAGGACAGGCAAGGCTGCAAGTTTTAATTCAGCAGTCAGAGATGTCACTGCACACACTCCTTCTTTAGGAAATATTTATGGAGTACTTACTAGGTGCTAGGTACTAGGATTACAAAGAAGAACGAAATAGACAATATTCTTGCTTTTGTGGAGTTTATTATCTGGTGGAACACAAGTGATACATAGGTAAATAATCAAATAAATAGAAATTATAGCTATTGATGAAATAAATCAATAGGTGCTTTGATAAAGATAGCAGGAAACCTGGTGTTAAATAGGATGCTCTCTCTGAAGGGGTCCTCTGGGGCTTGGACCTGAAGCATGGGAAAGAGCGAGTGGGACAGAGCACCCCATGGAAACAATCTGCTCACCTCTTGTCTCATCCATGTGACTCTGAGCTCCTTGAAGGAAGAGATCATGAATTATTCATTCCCCATTTCCAGCATGGCACCAGGCCTGGCACATTAGAGATGCTCCACAAATGTTTGTTTACCTGTTAGGTAGAAGAAATCAAGAGTAAGAGCTGAAAAACATTTGAAAATTGCCGTTTGTTGGCTGGAAGAAACAAAGTTCATCATGCAGTTGGCTGACATCTATTCAACAAACACTAACCGTGCCTGGCAGTGGGTTACAGGTTGCGTGGAAGACCCCCTCTTTGAGGCGTTTTAATCCGGACGGAGAGGCAGACTGGAGTTATTCTCATTCGAGGCAGATCCAGGCCCGGGCAGTCCCAGCAAAGGGGTGGGTGTGTGGTCTGGCAGTGGGCCAGGGGGTGTGCTCCCATCAATGTTGCCCAGCCTGGATGTGCCATGCCCTGTGGATGGAAAGGTGGATGTGGTGTTTGAGCTGGCCTGGGTCCTCCCTGGCTCAGGGCCCTGGAGACAGATCTGAGTAGTGACCAAACTTGAGGGAAGGGTCAGCTCCTGCTGCCAATCACCTGGGCTTCTTGCTGACAGCAGGACACAGCCAACCTTGTTGAGAAGACAGCCACACAGATGTCATGGGGTGTCCAAAGACAGTGTGTAGCTCCTTCTAAGGCACCGGGGACACTCCTCTGGCCATCCAGTGGCAGTGTTTAAATGGCAGAAACATTTGCTACCTTGTCTCAGGGAGCTTCGTAGGACTAACGGGTTGATTTACACTCTGCAAGGGAGAAAAACGTCCTCCTCTGAGATGTGTCATCAAAACAGTGACAGCATTGGAAATTAACTGGGCAGGTCCATGTTTCTTCATTTCCTAGAGGTGTCCAAGTGACATTTTCTGCCAGTTTGCTTCATGCAGCCCTCCTCAGATAATCAGAAATGTGTTTACGGGCTTGGGCGTTTGCGTCGTTTGACTAGTGCTTCACGAGGGAAGCCAGCATGTATGGGAGTAAGAAAAACAAATGTTTAAAACACCTGAATGATAGCAATACCTTGTTGGATTATTTACTCACGTTTTGCAAGTATGGGTTTCTAAAACCTGAGAATCTGCTAATTTCTTTCAGATACTCTCCGTAAGTATTATGCATATTGAAAATAACAGAGCTCTCCTCTACTAAAACAAAACTTCAAAAGGGATTTCCAACTGCCATGTGCTGCTTATTGTGGGGTTGCTAGATGCCCCCCTCCCCTTCCCACTACACCAGCCCCTGCCCCGTGGTAGAGAGATCCAGTGTTGGTAACCACAGGTGACCACCGACTCTCTACTCTCCTTTTTGCCCAGGCTGGCCCTGTGCAGGTATTTCATGCCGGAACAATGCTTTTGTTTTTTCCCCTGAAAAATTGTGGGATTAAAGCAACTGGTGGTTTGGGAAGTGTACAAATGCTAAAAATATGTAGAAGTACCCAAGCAGCTTTAAGTGGTGCCATTACCTTCAAAACCAAGCCAGGCACATAGCTCGATAAACATTTGTGCAGTGAATGAATGAAAATGTCAAACCCTTGAACCATGGGGCAGGAAAAATGATCACACAGTAGCTGACTTCTTAAATTCTCTACTTTAGCTTGTTCTTGCTTTAAGAAAAGCGCACATGCCCATGTTAATTTTTAATATCCAGGAACTTCCAAGCCTCAGCCTGAGGCTAACTAGAAATATCAGTGACTCTGGAGAGATCTGGCTAAGTGACAGGAGAAAAAGTGTAGAAACGGCTTCCACCCAAGCATCTGCAGGGAGGTCCCAGGATGTTGAGTGCAATGCTATCAATGACGCTATTTCAAAAGACTTTTTTCCTGACTTCATTTTTTTGAGCTACTTGGATTCCTTCTTTATCTTCTTATCCCATTGCTCGTGACCCCCAGGCTCCTATCACCCCTCGCTATTTTCCTGCTTTCTGGGTTCATCTCTGTCCTCTGGGGACTGGACCACATAGCATATGCCTGACGGTGACCTGGAATCTGGGAGCATGAGGGAGGCTGAGAGAGGAGTGAATGACAGATGGGAAAGCCAAGCAGGGGAAGGGGAGCAGGAACAGGAGCTTTCTACCTGCCCGTCCTGTTGCCCTGCAATGGGGTCGCTGGTGCCTGTCCCTCAGGCTTCAGACCCCGCCCCCCAGACAATGGGGCAGCACCTGGGAGCATGTGACTGTCCTGCCTCTGATGTGCTAGCCATGAGCCCTGGGTGACCAGGCCTTTCCACCATCCCACAGCATCAGGGTGCTCTGCATTCCTGGGTGGCTGCCTCGGTTTCCCTGTTCACAAAGCAGGTCTTAAGCCAGTCCTAAAACGTGTCCTGAGCTGCGGCCTTCTTGGCTGGAACCCTGACCAGTGGGCCTCCCTCCTGCTCAGACAAGGCAGCCTCTCTTGTAGCACCCACAGCTGGGTTATTTTCCAAAGTCCCTTTACACTTTCCTCTGACTCCAGCAGGTGAGTGGAGGCTCTGAGGCCCCTGTGCATCTCAGGGCTGAGCCATTGTGCATGACAGTGGGCTTGGACTGTGCACAGAGACTGTGGGGTCCCTCTTTTCTTCATCCCTCCACTCCAAGGAAGAGGCAGTGCCTCCCAGCTCCCCCCAGGAAGGTTCTAGGAGGGGTGGCAGGTGCTCAGCAGGAGATGAATTTGTTCATAGTGATCTGGCAGCTCCTAGGGCAGGGAGAGGGGAATGGCATTTGGAGAACACGGCTTAGTCCTGGCCCTGCTATTCCTGTGAGTGCGTGTGACACTGTATAGGATGCCTAGCATCTCTGGGGCTCAGGTAGCACACCTGTAAAACCAGTGACCTACTTCTCTTGGCTGCTGCAAGAGTGGGGCGCCCTGGCTGGGAATCGCACTGAGGCTGCATCCTAGCTTTGCTCCCTGGTGGCGAGAACCGGCTACCCCTGCTCCTCCAGCCTCAGAGTCGGGCAGTCTAGTTTCACATCGCTTCCCCTTTGGAGACCAAGAATCACTCTTTATAAAAAGGGAGTGGAGAGGGAGAAATGGTGGCCCAGCCCTCTGGGAGAACCCAGGCAAGGCCTTTGGGTGGGGTATGCTTTTGGGACAATGGCTGTCTCCCTCCCTGCATTGCACCTAGACACAGGCCTGGATCCTAGCAAAGTGGGACTCCTTCTTTAACAATCCCTGGAACAGATGTAAGTGGATGGGACTCCTCGGAGGACACACATAGGAAAGGCTTAGGTGCTTCTAGGAGTATCTCAGGGGGATTTGTAGGAGGAAATCAAAGCTGAAGCAGGAATCATCATTGGAAACCCCTTTGTGACATTAATTACTCCTCTTGGAGATGAGAGCCGTGTCTTCCCAGGAAGCTTTTAATATCCTGCATTATGGCCATGGATGTCTTAGGGCTCCACCAGAGAGAAGAAAGCTCGTCAATTATACATGGCCCGCTGCCCCGAGAGTGACTTGGTATTGACAGGCGGGAGTCTCAGAAGGATGATCTGCTGGGAGAGGGGATGGAATGCGGCTCATTTCTCAGGCTGCCCCAGCCTGGCCTCGCCCCACGTAGGCTGAGCCTCCCCTCAGAAGTTCCTTGGGAGTGAAAAAAATATTATTTGTAGGTTAAAAGGGAAAATAGCTGTTTGGAGATGTGTGCAAAACGGGGCTAGTCAACATGTGTGGACGTGGAGCAGGAAGAGCTTGCTCTCTGGCTTTCCCGGGCCTGGGCTGGACCCTGGAGTTTGGATTTTTAAAAGCTTCTGCAGGAAAGGCCTTGAAGGACATCTAATCCATGTCCCCAGTTTACAGTGAGGCTGCACAGAGGGCAATGCAGTCGCTTAAGGCCACACAGCACGTCACAGAGAGTGAGATGTGGCACAGCTGAATGTGAGCCCAGAGAGGCTGCTTGGAAGGAGCCTGAGAGCCTGAGGTGGGGCAGAGAAAACTGCTCACCCTGCTAGGTTTTGTGGCATCACACATACGGTAGGCCGAATGTCTGCTGGTTGCTCCTGGCCAGGACTTCAAGTGTACTGAGGCCTCCAGACCCTGAGGATCTGGGGAGAGAACCATGACAGCAGAAGAGGAAGGAGACAGCAGGGTCAGAGGAGGGGTGGGAGGAGACAGAGCTAGGCATGTGATGGCGACCTGGGCACAGGAGTGGGAGTTGAAGCCGCCTGTGTCCTCTGCAAAGAGGAGGCTCTGGATAAGTATTTTCTAGGAGCAGACCCTGCACCCAGCAAGGGCTAAGCACTTGTCACATGTCACCTGCTGGCATCCTCTCAATGGCTGCCCAAGACAGGTACAATTGCTATCCTGTTAACTAGAGGTGACAGTGACCCTGGCTGCAAGAGGTCAGGGACCTTTCCCAGGCTCCCAGACAGCAGATGGCAGAGCCAGCCTGGGCCTGTCTTCTTAACTAGACAGTCTGTTCCACCTCCTCCAGCTGTGGGCTGCTCCCATGACCCCATCCCACCCCGCTGTCCCCACCACAGCCCTGCCTTCCCTTCTGGGCCTGCCCTCCCCTTCCAGCATGTGGAGGGAGAGTGCTGGGCTGAAGTCCAGGACCTGGTTCTAGTTCTGCTCCATGGCCCAAACTGTGGTCGCAGGCAAATCGTTTGTCCCCTCTGGGCTGGGCTGTCCCATCTCAGACCTCTCCCGGGCTGGCATTCACCGAGTCCATCTTCTCTGGTGGATTCCAGATGGTTCTCACCCACCTCTCCCACCCACAGGAGCTGGATTCTCCTGAGTTCTCTTGTGACCGCTATCCCCACCCTCAACACCCCCATCCTCATGAGGAGGAGAAGGGGGCCCCAGATCAGCCCTCCAGGCGGGTGTCAGAAGTGGCAAAGTAGTTTCTGTCCACCCTGGGGATTGGCCCCAGTTTTAAATACACACTGGTTAGAAATGTTCTCGGTGCATTTTGAGATTCTCTCCAAGCAGTAGTCATTGCTGAGCACCCTACGGGCAGTTAGGGCAATGTAGGACCAGGACAGGCCTGTGCAGGCACAGCTTGCAGTGCCCTCCAGCCTCCTTTGCCTCTGTCCAGTGCCTGGCCAGCTGAGCAGGGTGTAGGGGTAAGGCTCTGTTGCAAGGAAGGAGTGGCGAGGGAGGGAGGACGATAACCCTGTGCAGGCCTGGCCTTTCCATAGCACGTTGACTCACAGCCACCCATGAGGCTCACTGGGTCATCTCCTTTCCCCAGAAGAGGAAACCAAGGCCAGGAGTCAGGAACAGCGGTGCCACAGTCAGAGGCAGCAGCTGCAGAGTGGGGACTGGAGTCTAGCCTGCCATCCTGAGCCTTGCCCCCAACCTGACCAATGTGGGATCCCAGGCCATGCCAGGAAGCTGCGGCTGAAGCCTGCCCATACCTGGCACTGTCCTCAGTCCTTGTCACCACGGATGACCTTCAGTCCCACTGGCCAGCCCTGCTGTTCTAGGGCCAGGATCTGTGCAGCCCCCAAGAGTGTGTGGAGTGGGGAAGGTGGCCGTCCCAGTGGCTACCTGGTCACGGGGGAGTGGGGAGGGTGGCCGTCCCAGTGCCTGCCTGGTCATGGGGGCCACGGGGCCCATCGAGAGGATGGAAGGAGGCTTTGGAAGGTCAGGCTGGGCTTGGTACTGCCCTGTGAGAGGAAGATAATGGCAAAGGAAGGGGGCATTAGGGCTGATTCTGGACAAGGACTTATGTCTTTCCAAAGGAATGTTGCCACCTGGTCATGGTGAGCATCTAAGCAGGTCACTCTCCTGCCTCCAACCCCTGGAAGCGTGTCATTTCCCATTTTCCTTGGGGGCCAAGGGCCGAGCCCTCAGCATGGCCTGGGGACCACCCCGAGCAGTGGCTGTGGCTGGAGCCTCATCTTTGCCCACACCCAGCTCACCGGCCAGGGCCCCAGTGTCTGCCTCACCGCTGCCTTCCCCTGCCTCTCCAGTCCTGCTGCTGAGCCTCCTGAGAGACATGTCCCTGCTTTCCCCCTCTGCTGACCCCTCCCTCCTTCCCTTTGCACCTTGCTGGGGTTGGGAACAGAGCTCAGCAAAGGAGTGCTCAAGCTTAGAGGAGGAGGCCGAGCTTCTCCCAGCCCGGTCCACCTCCACCGCGGTGCTGGGCTGGCTCTGCAGGGGTGATCCTCTTGGCCCTTGGTGAGGCTGGTGCCCAGCCTGGCATTCTGGGTGGCAAATAAACCATGGACTTCTCAAACCACCAGCTGGCCAAGGCTGCAGCTGAATCCCAACACCAGAGCCTGGCCAGGTGAGGGGGCAGGAATGGCAGCTGTGGCCATGTTTTCAGAAGCCCCTCTGTACCCACAGCAAGGAAAAAAACAAGATGAGGGCCTGGGGTGGGCTGACCAGCCAGTGAGTGCTAACAGGAGGAGCGGCTGGGAGGCTGATGGCTGTGGAATCTTCCAGGGGCCGCTCAGGGTTGAGTGGATGGGGGGTTGGGGAGGGATGATCCTTCCTAGGCCAGAGCGGCTGGAGGGGGTGGGGTGGGGTTGGAGGCCCCGGTGAGCATGGACTGCAGACTGAATAAACAGTTCATTTCTGTAGGCAGCTGCGCCACCCCTCCCCCAGGGTCCCACTGCTGCTCAGGGGGCCTCCTGGGTGAGGCCCAGGTAGGGTGAGGCAAGCCCGGTCTTGCCCACGGGGTCATCACAGGGGCTGCC
Organism: Homo sapiens; assembly: GCF_000001405.40. Classification (NCBI taxonomy): domain Eukaryota; kingdom Metazoa; phylum Chordata; class Mammalia; order Primates; family Hominidae; genus Homo; species Homo sapiens. Next base: position 18,100 of record NW_011332693.1, on the reverse strand, counting down.
GCCTACTCCAAAGGAAACCCTGATGGCCGGGGCTTGTCTAAGGAGATTCAGGTTCCCTGGGGCCAGGGTCCCTCAGGTCTCTCAGGGACCAGGGGAGGCTGCAGGGCTGGTGATGCCCCAGGGGGCCAGGCCACTCCCCGCCAGCAGGAGGGCCTGCTTAGAAGGGGTGCCTGGTAGGACCCTGGTAGGAGGGACCCATGGACAGCAGGGTTAACAGATCCCTGGGCCGCTCACTGAGCACCTGTGCTGGACTTGCTGCACCAACCGTGGGCTTGACCCAGTTCATTTCTCCCTCCCAGTCTCCTGGTCTACAAGCCAGAAACCGAGACTCACTCACGTTCTGATCTGGTGCGTCTGGAAGCCTGCACCCCCTTGGTTGGGCCAACTGCCCCTGTTGTCATCCTCTCGATGATGTCCTGAGCATCGGATCTGGAAAACTCTTCTAGGCTTATCCAGTGCAACCCGTGAAGGGTGCATGAGAAAACTGAAGCCCAAGGCCCCAGGGCCAGGGAGGGTCAGAACTGGGAGTGGAGGGGAAGCTGCCTTCCCGACACCCTGACCCAGGCAGTGAGCTTCCTTTAGAGTTGATCTTCCTTTAGAGTTGAGGCCAGCACCTCATGCAGTGGGGACGGAGGAACTGCCAGGGCTCTGTGGAAGACCCAAGGCCCGGGGCCCAGGAGAAGGGCTGCCCGTAGGTCTAGAGGATCCAACAGCTCAGAGGCACACTGGCGTTCCTGATAAAGAAACCTCAGCTCTGAGGTGCCAATTACGAACATTTAGACAAAATGCCAGCTTAAGTTCTCCCCACCGTCAGGCAGGGTTGGCAGAGAGCTAGACCACGGGCCCAGTACAACCAGGAGGCAGAGAGCTAGACCACGGGCCCAGTGCGACCGGGAAGCAGAGAGCTAGACTATAAGCCCAGTGAGACAGGGAGGTAGAGAGCTAGATCATGAGCACAGTGCGACCAGGACTGCTGCTCCCCTGCACACAAAAAGGTGCTCAGGGCATACTGGGTGAGTGGAAGGCGGTGGAGGGGACAAGCTTGGACGTCTGGTCTTGGCCTTGCATCCAGGCTGTCCTCAAATCTGCTCTCGGTCTCCAGTTCCTCATCCCTCACCAGAGGGTAGAGTGAGGCCATCTCTTGGGCTCCTTCCTCAGGCTCCAAAACCTCCCACTTCTGGTATCTGCTGCCATCCCAGAGTGCTCAGGTCTGGCGTCCTCGTGGGTGCATGGAAAAGGCATCCACAGGGACCTTGCAGGAAGGCCCAGGCCACAGGCATCACAGGGCTCCAGCCAAGAGCCCCACGTGCTCACCCTGGGGAAAAGGCTGCTGTGGAGCACGACCAGATGCATCTCTAAGTTCTGCTGCCACAAATGGGCTCTGTGCAGTAGCTGAAGAAAGGCCAGGGTTTTGTAACTGTGAGTTCAAAATGAGAATAGATTTGGTGTCTGGCAAGAATACCATATTGAGGAGTAATTTTTTTCCTGTTATAAATCCATTAGGAAATTAAAAATCTAGGCTGCGACTTTAAAATATGGAATGGAATTTTCTTCTGAGCCCCCTAGGTAAATTTTTTTCCTTGTTAAAGGCAGAAATCTAATGAATCTAAATCTTCTCATTGAGGATAATGTTCCCAGAGGCGACTGCTGTGCCTTAGCTATTCACTGACTTGCAGCTAGGATCAGATTTTCAAAAAAAGGTTAACATAAAATCTGACAATGTTTGCCCTGGGCTGGAACTGAAAGCTGAAGGGTATTAAGAAATACCTACTGTGTGGCAAGACACAATGGGTGCTGGGCCAAGGCGTGGAGAGGGGAGGGGAAGAGGGACGGGAAGACTCTGAGATACGATCAGCCCTCAGCGGCTCCCAGCTCAGTGTGGGAGGCACAGACTGGAGAGAAACAGTACAGAGATGGTTTGACGAATGAGCATATCAACCAGGACAAGTGTACAACCAGGAAAAGTTAGTGTACAACCAGGATTAGTCAGTGTACAACAAGGACAAGTTAGTGTACAACATGTGAACACCCTAACACTCCACCAATCTAGAAATCAGAATAAGCAAACCTGGACCTAGAATAAACTTGAGAAGTGGATCTGGGGCTGCAGAGAGAAGCCAAGTCGGGTTCTGCAAACCCTGGCATTTGACTGTGTGGGCAGAGCAGCTTCGGTCCTCCCTCATTATCTGTTCTTCTATGAAGGATTGAGTGGCAGCAGCAGCACCTCCATCCTCACCAACAGAGCCACCAACAGCAGCATGAACCAGAGAAAAGACCCACGGCGAGGCCCAGGGCTGAGAGCCTCACGCGCCACCTCCGATGGAGCAGGTGTCTTCATGTTAGCTCATGCCCCTAGTGGTGATCTTAAACTATCAAGAAAATTGCAGTCATCCTATTACGTGAGAATCCAAGAAATGCACAAAACATTTTATCAAGGTTTTTGATCAATGTGGTTGAATTTTAAAAACGTGTATCACTGGTCTGGGATAGTTGATTTCATTGGATGCACATTCTCCAACAATGCTGGCTGAAGTGCAAGTGTGTGTGTGTGTGATATGTGTGAGTGTATGTATGGTGTGCATTGGTGTATGTGTGAGTGTGTGTGGGTGTATGTGTGAGTGTGTGTTGGTGGATGTGTCAGTGTATGTGTGAATGTGCATGTGGGGGGAGGGGTTATATGTGTGAGTGTGTGTTGGTATGTGTGTGTGGGAGTGTGGGAGTGTGAGTGCGTGTGTGGGGGTTATATGTGTGAGTTTGTATGTTGGTGTATGTGTCAGTGTGTGGAGTGTATGTGTGACAGTATATGAGGGTGTATGTGTGAGTATATTGGTGTGTCAGTTTGTGGGGATGTGAGTGCATGTATGTGGGTGTGTTATATGTGTGAGTGTATGTGTGAGTGGATTTATGTGTATGCGGGTGTTGGTGTATGTCTCAGTGTGTGTGTGTTGGTGTGTCAGTGTGTTTGTGGGTGTGTGGGTGGGAGTGCATGTGTGGGGGAGGGGTTATATGTGTGAGTGTGTGTGTGTTGGTATATGTGTGTGTAGGAGTGTGAGTGCATGTGCGTGGGGGGTTATATATGAGTTTGTATGTTGGTGTGTGTGTGTGCATGTGTATGTTGGTGTATGTGTGAGTTTGTGAGTGTGTGTGTGTTGGTGCATGTGTGTGTTTGGGTATGTGTGTGTTGGAGTATGTTTGAGTTTGTGTGTGGGTGTATGTGAGTGTGTGTTGGAGTATGTGTGCGTTTGTGTGTGGGTGTATTGTGAATGTGTGTTGGTATATGTGTGAATTTGTGTGGGGATGTATGAGTGTGTTTGGGGGGCATGAGTGTGTGTGTGTAGGTGTATGACTGCATGTGGGGTGTGTGTGTGTGTGTGTGTATTTGCTGACTACTGAAGTGCCAAGGAGATGTCAACCATGGGCGTAAATAGTCAGGAAGGGTTTTAAAGAGAATGGGAATTTGCGATGACCTGAAAGGTGGGGAGAGTGCGTTGTAAGCAGGAAAGGCATAAACACGTGAACATACTGTTTTGACCTCCAAAATCAGTTAACAGTTTTCTCAAAATATTTTTGCATAACTTGGTTGCATCTAAGCCCTATCAACAAAAAGACATCGCCTTGGCAAACCTCCCAACAGGGCCATTGGAGGTTTAAGAATGCTACAAGGAACTTGTAGATGTAATTCCTGAACAGGGAGCTCTGTCATAGAATCTATGCAGTGCTAGGAGACCAGGTTATGGTTCCTTCTCTGCCCCTGCCTAGCTGTGTGACCTGGTACGATGATCTTTCTGGGTCTCATTTTCTGTAAAGTCTGTAAAATGAGGAAGTTTGTCTAGACACCAGAGGATGGTGATCAGAGTTTGTATCAGAACCACCTAGGATGCTTTTTCAAGATGTGCATGTCCAGACCATACACGAGATCTACTGAACCAGGACATCCGGGGTGGATCTCAGGGGACCTAAGATGTCAAAGAAGGTCCACACGTGATTTTAGTTGTGAGCCAAAGTTGGGATCCTATTGTGTTAGATAACACTGGCTCCTGTAACAAACAATGCCTCAAATCTCACTGTTCAACATGATCCAAGTTTGTTCTCATTCATGTGTCAATCCGTGCAAATGCACCAGCAGCCAGCCAGCTTCCAGGTGATAATCAGATGACCCTGCCTCCTCTGTCTTGTGTCTGTCATCTTCAGTGTCATCTTCAGCTACCTCCATGGTCTCAGTGGGGTCATCTCCATGCTGGTGAGCTGGAAGGGGAGAGAGTGTGGAACATACTATGTGGAAATGTGTCCATGGGCCAGGCCCAAAGTAGTGCACACCACCCCCACTTCTATCCCAGTCACCAGCCATTCCTACTGCACGGCTAGCTGCGGAGGGGGGTTGTCCACAGGAAGCAGGGAAATGGGTTAGGGTCACGGCTGTCAGTCTCTGCCACCAAACTAACATGAATAATTTTTTTCTTTTTGAGATGGAGTTTCGCTCTTGTTGCCCAGGCTAGAGTGCAATGGCATGATCTCGGCTCACTGCAACCTCCGCCTCCCGGGTTCAAGCGATTCTCCTGCCTCAGCTTCCCCAGTAGCTGGGATTACAGGCATGCACCACCACACCCGGCTAATTTTGTATTTTTTGGTAGAGTTGGGGTTTCTCCATGTTGGCCAGGCTGGTCTCGAAACCCCTGACCTCAGGTGATCTGCCCACCCCGGCCTCCCAGAGTGCTGGGATCATGGGTGTGAGTCACCGCACCGGGCCCATGAATAATTTCTAAGATTCTTTTTAGCTGCAAAGTTCTGGAATGTTTATCTTTTTGCTGCCACAGTCCTCACTAAGAACCTCTACAAAGAGCTAGTTTCTTTCCACCTCGCATTCGAGTGTTTATCTGTGTCATCATCCGCCCCAGATGGTGCTGTCCCTGAAGCAAGGGTTGCACCTTATTCATCATTGCTTCTGTTCCCCAAAGCACCTAGCGCAGTCTTTTGCACATATTATGAACATAATATTAACTGAGTGAGTGACTTAAATGCATGATTTAGAAAAAGTTCATTAGCCCAAGGAGGAAGGGCAGGAGGCCTGGTGTCTGCAGACACAGGATCCGTCACAGCGCTGTCTGGTACTCAACTCTAGAGCCCTCCTCAAGCCTTGGTTTCAGCAGAATTTGGCAGCAGCAGAACGGGCCTCATTAAGTTGTTGAAAGGATTAATGAGATAATGGTTGTGAAGTGCTGAGCACAACATCTGGGTGAACAACTGCATCTCCTTTCATCTTGGCATGGGCTCGTGCTACCTCGAGACAGTCTCCGCAGAGGTCATATTCACAACCGGCAGGACCGGGACTGATCAGCTCCATTTCGTATTTGCAAACGGCCTGGAAGTTTGGCATCATGGAAAATCACAACTAGGATGGTTGATACTTTATCCAGGGGGCCCAGCAGACTCTTGTGAGGTCCTGGCAGGATGAGGGACAACGTAACTGTCGCTAGAATTCCTCATATTTATGCAGTGCTTTGTGGTACTCATGGATCTTTTACATTTGTTTTCCCAGTTCAGGGTTCAGAAAACATAGTAAAAATTTTAGGCTTTGCAGGCCATAGAGTCTCTGTCACGACTACACAACTCTGCTGTTTTAGTGTGAAAGCAGACACGGACAATGTGTGAATGAATGGCTGAGGTCATTTTGTGATGAGGTTTGATTTACACAGACAGGTGGCAGGTCGGATCTGGCCTGCTCACAGCCCCGCTGAAGGCTCAAGCTTGGTCACCTCGGCGTCACGCGACTCTTCCTGCCGCAGCTGATGGACCAGGGGTGACGGAACCCAAGACCAGCCAGGGTTTGGCCAGTGACCAGTCAGATTCTTTCCTTGGAGAACTGGAAATACCAAGTGAGCACATGCAGGCCGATCTGCCTACTCACTCTGCGTCCCTTTTGCTTCTCAGTGCCTGGGTGTGGTGGCACCTTTCGGATACCCAGTCAGATGGAGGAATGGCCCAAGCAACCTGGAGACTAGTAGAGGGAATGTCAGCACTGCAAGACCCTGCACACTGGATCCTGCACACCGGGTCCTGCACACTGGATCCTATATGCTGGATCCTGCACACTCAATTCTGCACGGTGGGTCTGATCAGAAGAGAAAGCAGAGAGGCCATGTCGCCCAGGAAGAAAGGAGAGGGGAACGGTGAGGCAAAGAGAGACAGAGGCAGAGACAGAGATGGAGACAGAAAGACACTGAGTCCTGTTGACATTCCAGCTCCACCTGAATTCTGCTGATTCTTAAGATAAACTCCCCTTTCTGAGCTTTCTCGTGTGGGTTTCTGTCCTGGCCAAAGCAATGGTGTGGTGAGAATCAGGATTCAGGCTTCCCAAGTCTATCCAGGCAGTTTTCTGCTATCAACAGCTCCCAACCCTTTACCTTATAGTCTGTGAGTGGCTCTCCCAAAACCCCTGGGCTCTTCCACGTTGGACATGGAAGCAGGCTTCCTGAGAGCGTGGCCTCAAGTCCTGGGTGTCCTGGGCTCCATGCTGTTCCAAGCTCCTGACACCTCACTGCATGCCATCCTCCCACCCCGAGACTCACTCTGGGCCTGGAGAGCTCCTGGGGGTCAGGACGTACCTCAGGCCACCCCATCCATGGGTGGGCTCACTCCACAGCCTGTCCACACCACACACACACACACACACACACACACACTATACATCCATATACACACCACACACACACACACCACACACACTACCACACACACTATACACCCATATACACACCACACACTATACACCCATATACACACCACACGCACCCCACACACTATACACCCATATACGCACCACACACACCACACACACCCCCCACACACTATACACCCATATACACACCACACATACCACACACACCCCCATACATGCACCACACACACTATACATTCATTTACACACCACACACCACAGACACCACACACCCCCATACACACACCACAGACACCACACACACCCCCATACACACACCGCAGACACCACACACACCCATACACACATCACACACACTACATTCATTTACACACCACACACACCACACAAATGCACCACACACATCACACCACACATACATCTCTCACACACACACCACACATGCACTCCATACACACACCACACCACAGACAGCACACATACCATACGCCCACATACACCACACCCCCACATATACCCCACACACCCATATATACACCCCACACAGACTACATACCCATGTACACACCACACGTACACACACACCACGCACACCCCCATACATACGCCACACACACTATACATTCATTTACACACCACACACACACCACAGACACCACACACACCCATACATACACCATACCCCACACACACACCCCACACACACCCCACAAACACACACCACACACTCACCACAAATACACATGCCATACACTCATACACATACCACAAGGACACCACATACCACACACATCACAGACACCACACACATCACAGACACCATACATATACCACATCACATATTACACACACCACATATCCATACCACAAATACACACCCCACAAATACACACACCCTCCACACACCACCCCCCACCACCCCCCGCAGACACCACACAAATGCACATACCACACACCACACCACCCATACCACAAACACACATCCACACACAAAGCACACGCTAGACACACACCACAGACACCCCACACACACCGCAAACACACACCCCATATCCCCCACATCCACCCCACATGCCGTGCACAACAGAGACACACACACCACACACACACACCCTATATATGCACCACATGTCACACACACATCAGACACGTCCAACACCCCCGACTTCCTGCACCGGTTCCTGTTTTTTTACTGTCAGGCCCACCCTCTTGGGCCTCCTCTCCACACCACCCGCATCTTCTATGCAAGGGTCCTGAACAATTGGGCAGGATTCGGGCAGCGTTCCCAGGCCCCCTCATTTCCGCCTATTGTTCCCGGGGACTGTGTCTGGTGCACGTGGGTTTGTAAGGCGGAAGCTGCAGCAGGATGGCCTGTGTTTGTCTGGTTTATCAGTGATGGGGACAGTGGCTTCCAATTCTAATTTCTGGAGAAGGAACACAGAGGGGAGGCAATCCCAGTTCCTTTCTTTCTGGGCACTTTTTAACACATTTAACACAAATTTGCAAAATATTTGTGCAAGTGCCTGGCCAGGCACTAAGAAATGCTGGTGGGAACTAGGAAATGCAAAGGGAACTGGGAAAGGCCTGGCCTCAGGGGCATGAGGGGCTGCCCATGGTCACGAGGGGCTCAGGGAAAACAACACCGTTTGCTGGGCACTTGTGGTGTGCCTGGGACTGTGCTGACCACGCTCTTCCCCGTGCAACCCCAGGAAGGTAGGCTCCGCTTCATCCCCACTTTAGAGATGATGATGAGGCTCTGATAGGAGGCTACACAGCTACTAAGTAGAAAAGCTGAGACCTGAACCCGGGTCTGCCAGGGCTGGGTCACCAGCGGCCCATGAGACAGGAGCTGGGGTACAAACAATTTACCCCAGCAGCCAGGGTGAAGAGCAGGCTCCTTGGCAGAGGAGGTCCTGAGGGAGGTGGAGCAGTGGCCAGTTCTGTGTTCAGAGGGGAACCTAGGAGCCCGGGGTGGTGGGAGTGCCCATGCCAACCATGAGGCTCCTAGGGCCAGGCCCTGCCTGGGGTCAGGGGCTGAGTATCCCCTGCTGCATCAGGGACCTTCCTTCCTGGCCTAAAGGGGCTTGGACCCAGCGAAGTTTCCTCCCCTGGCCTGCCTCCCCTTACCTCCTCCTCCCCACCTCCCACCCCTAGCCTGCCTCCCCGTCCCTTCAGGCACAGGTGGTGGGTGCGGTGTGATGAGCTGGGGCTCTTCGTGTCTGGAATGAGCTTAAATGTGAATGTTTCCCTAGAAAATTGCTTATTTCACTATGTGACAAAGGAAGAGCTATCTTTCTCCAATGTATGGAGCCCTGGTCTTAATAATACCCTCCAGTGAGAAAGGGAGATGGCTCTGAGCCATCCTTCAGAGCACTGGCATACGCGGGCTGACTCACCTGCAGTTGGGAAATTAAAATGGCACAGGTGGGCAGAAGCTCCGCTTGGGCCACAGCTCTGTTACCAGGGAAATCAGGAGGTCGCCTCCCCCTCGGATCCTGCGTGCTGCTCCCAGAGCCTGGCCCAGGCAGTGCAGGGAGCTGGGTCCTGCTCAGGCTCTGAGATCAACTCATGGTGTGACCTGGACAAACTTCTCTCCCCTCTTGGCCTCGGTTTCCCCACCAGTTCAGTGACGCAGTTGGACAAGACAATGGCTGCATGTTAGAATCTATGAGGAGCTTTAAGAACACGACTAAGCCCAGCTCCAGCCCCAGAGATTCTGACTCCATTTGATTGGGGTGGGACCTGGTTATTAATGTTTTTTTGTTTGCTTGTTTCTGTTTTTGTTTTCCGGGATGGAGTCTCACTCTGTCACCAGGCTGGAGTGCAGTGGTGTGATCTTGGCTCACTGAAACCTCCGGCTCCCTGGTTCAAGGGATTCTCCTGCCTCAGCCTCCCAAGTAGCTGGGATTACAGGCACCTGCCACCATGCCCAGCTAATTTTTGTATTTTTAGTAGATTCGGGGTTTCACCATGTTGGCCAGGATGGTCTCAATCTCCTGACCTCATGATCTGCCCACCGCAGCCTCCCATAGTGCTGGGATTACAGGCGTCAGCCACTGTGCCTGGCCAATTAGCACTTTTAAAAATGTCCCCCAGCAGATTCTATCATGCAGCCAGGGTGGAGGGCCACAGGGCCAGATGGCTGCTCCCGTGCTCCCCCAGTTCACCTGTGGTGGGTGGGGTCTTTTTCTTGGAAGGAGACATGAGTCCATTTGAAAATCAGAACTGCTTCACCTTCCTCTGCATCTTTATTTTGTTGGTCAACTCAGAGAGTTTGCAGGTAACGTCATTGCATGGTTGGCTAATGCTATTGCATCATTCTGGAGTGTTGGATGAATGGCCAGCATGGTTAGAGTTGTGCTGTCTGACACGGTAGCTACCAGCCACATGCGCCTACTCAAATTTAAATGGATAGAAATTAAATAAAAAAGCCAGTTCCTCAAGTGCTCAACACCCACATATGGCTAGTGACAGCTGACCTGGGCACACAGATGTACAAGTTCCCATTATCGCAGAAAGTTCTACAGCACCGTGATGACCTAGAGGTTATAGTCCAGCCTTTTCACTTTACAGGTGGGGAAACTGAGGCCTGAAGCAGCTAAGTGGCTTCCTCTCTGTCTCAAAGCTGAGTGAGGCTGGGAATCCTGGGACCCTGACATTCCGTGCCAGAATCCTTCACTCTGGGGGAACTGGGGAAAGAGTTTGGACATGCGAGACTCAAGCCTTCCTGATCTACACCTTGTTTTTCTTCCTATCTGACTCACCCGCTAACATGTACACTCAGTGTCTCTTCGCCCCTGCCAGGGCCTGGCCCAAAGCGGGTGCTCAGATATCTACTGATGGAATAAGGAAGAGCAGGAAGCTGGATGGAACCCTGCAGGGGTGTGCATGGTGCGAACAGGATGGGAAAGAGACCAAGGCAGAGAGGGAGGGTGGCCCCTAGTGACAAGCGCTGTCCAGAGGCTAAAATCAGGACCAAAAGTGTGCAGGGGCCTTGAGGGCATTTCATGGCATCAGGGCTGAGGGCAAGGACCAAGGCAAAGGACCGAGTTTGGGTGAGGCCAGGTTTGCACAGCCCCTGGCTCCATGTTTGGCTGTGTTCCTATCCTTCTGGAGACTTCTGTGCCAGGGTGTGTCCCAAAAGGCTTCCACTTCCTTGCCCTGGATCCCCATTCAGCTGAGGCCGGCAGAGCACTGGCCTATGAGGGGAGCAGACCACGCTGGTTAGCTGAAGCGCTGCCCTCCCTGGCAGCTCCCTTTCCTGCCACACCGGGTGAGAAGAAAGTGGTTCTTCCTCCAAGGTCCCTCGGCTCTCAACCCCAGAACCTGGAGCTCCAAAGCCTCCTGACAAAAGGGTGCTGATTTGATCAAGCGTGGCTCAGAGCCAAGTCTGTTATCTGAAGAGAGGCCTCAGCCGGGCTGCTGTTAGCCCACGGCACCTGGAAACAGCCTCCCACTGCGGCCTCCTCCTCCTCCTGAAGGCCTGGCCCAGGCTGTCCCCTGGAGCCCCCACAGCCATGTCTTCACACTGAAATGAAATCTCAAATGGAAGGTGTTTTTAGAATAACATTGAGTGGTTTTGTAAAAGTACAATTTCATTTCCTTTTCTTTTTTCATATTCTCAGTGGAACATATAACTATTAGTATTTTGGGGTTTTTTTAGTATTCAGGGGGCTGAGCCATGGCAATTAGAACAGTCACTTCAAAAATTCCACCCCAATGCTCTACAGTGGTGTGCTAATGGTGATCAAATTATAAGTGTTAGCAGGCTTCCTGCTGGAAGGAGGAAAAGAAGGGAGCAGCTTTGCGAGTTTATGTTCTGGTTTACGAGTTGGGAGCAAAGAAATAACGCTGGCGGGAAGATGCCCTCGCCCCTGCAACAGGGTTGAGATGTTACAAGCCGACAACACAAAGATGTGTGCTGGCATCCTTCACATCCCCATTGCGAGGTGGGAAGGGGGTTCTGACCTCCTCTTGAGAAGCAAGGATGCTCCGTCCTTAGAGAAACCACACAATGTGCGCAGTGGATGGGCTGAGGTCAGATGGCTGGCTTCCCTGGTTAAGTTGCCAAGTTCAGCTGAGAGCTGGAGTCACTTGGTGTCATGCCACATCCATATAGACTCCAGTGGGGATGGCATTAGGTTTAAGAGGCCAAAGAAGAGACCCAGAGCCAGTGAATGAGACATGGGGTTTTACTGGGGCTACATACAGAGGAGAGAGTCCAGGGCCAGTGGGCTGGACAGGAGAGCCACAACCGCTTGCAAAAAACATGCACTTTATGTAGCATTTTCACTTAGCACCCTCCCTCTAACGACCTCCACCTGGCAACCTTCATGTGACCCAAAACAAAGGGCCTCAATTCCGTGTATGGCCAATACTCCACGGGACAGGCCGGAGACTCAGATGTTCCTCATAGATGAGGAATGAGCCTCTGGGTTGGGCATTCCCGATTCCTTAGCTCAAACTCTGAACTGCATTCAGGTGCGTCTTCCATACAGGGTCATTCTCAGGGGATGCACAAGTTATTGCTGTCAGGTGCATTTACCATACACTGGGGAGATCTCTCAGCCAATAAAGGTGAAGCTAGGATTTGAACCCAGATTTGGGACTCTAAGTCACGCAGGGTTTTGCCTCAATGCACTGCAAAAAACCATCCTTTGGGAAGGCTTCCTCCTCTTTGTGCCTCAGTTTTTCTACCAGTAAATGGGTTTATTGGATAGACTCGATGAATAGTTTGTAAACGAGGTAGGATCACTACCTCCAAGCAGGGTGGGGGTTCCACGTGTGGAAGGGGTACTGGGGAGTGGTTAAGAGCCTGGAGTCAGACTGCCTGGGCACATGTCCAGCTCTGAGGCCACCTCTGTGGCTGGGAGCAAATTACTTAACCTCCCCAGCCATGCCCATGTGACTGGAGAATGGTATTAATTCTCCCTTATTATCTTGTTAGAATTAAGAAGGACAATCTATGCACAGGGCTTAGAACAGGGCCTGCTGTGTGTAAACATGTGAGTAGTCCCTGCAGCACTATTTGTCAGAAGCTCCAGGAAGGTGAGTGATTTGAAAAGTACCCCAAAGTGTCTTCTTCTAAAGGGACCATAGGAGCCTGGAGGGGGTTGCCATCCATCTACCCATCCACCCAACCATGATCTCCTCACCTGATTGTGCTTAGGGGAATGTTGGCCTCATAGGAAAGCCCAGCAAATACTTGAGTGAAGATTTGCCCAAACCAGAGCCACAACTGGTATTTGAACAACCACCCCCTGCCTAGGTTTATTCCCATCCAACGATCCACTGACCCATCAGGAGGTTCTGTCCCTTGGTCCTTCTCACTGTTCCCCACCCCATCCTCACCCAGCTTGAATTCCCTGGGCTGTCATTATGACCACTGCCTCACATCCTCTTCCACGCCCCAGCCCCTTTTGCTTTTTTGTGCTTTCTGGGTCAACTACACCCCTCTTGAATCTACCTTTCGGCTACCTACCCTGGCCTGCACTCTGGAAACCAAATGTGGCTGAAGGAAGACACAGCCACAGTGCCTGGTCTGCCTTGGGGTGCTGGACCAGGACCACACACAGCTGGCCATATGTTCACTCTCCTGTCCCTGCAAGCCCCAGGGCCTCTGCCCCATCTCCGCTCAACACTGAAGGCCTTGTACCTACTTTAACGAGAAAATTAAAGCAACCCAAGAATGTCCGTAAGCGCCCCACCCACCAGCCTGTTGGCCCTCATGATCTTCTCTCCTATTACTGTGGACAAACCATCTCTGTGTCCAGCTAAGGTCAATCCCTGGTGCCAGATCCCATCTTCTCTTTCCTGCTCTAAAGGACACTGTTCTAGAAATTTCCCCCTCCTCCTCCTTCAAGGAGGTTTCTTTCTTCATGGGTTCATTCCCATCAAAACCCGAACATGCCATACTTTCTCCTTGTAAACGTAAACCCCTCCCATGACCCCACCTGCCTTCCAACTCTAACCCACTCAGTTCCTTCCCTTCACAGCTAAACTCTTGGAGAACCTGGTCTCTACTCACCGTCTCCAATTTCTGTCCTCTTATCCTTTTATTTCTCCTTCCCTGATGTATGTTTTCTCTTTATATTTTTTTGCCACTGAAGTGCTACACATTTTACTTATTCGTCTCATCACCTGCCTCCCTACTAGAAGCCAATCTCTCTAAGGGCAAGGATTCAGTCTGGTTTACTCATGACTGTAAGCTTAATACCCAGAACAGTGCTGATGTACTAGGGCTAAATATATATATTTAGATTTAATATACATTAAATAATATACATAAATAATATATATAAATAATATATATATATTAGATTGCACCATTGCACTCTAGCCTGGGTGACAAGAGCAAAACTCCGTCTCTCTCTCTCTCTCTCTGCTACCTACCATTTTGTGTCTTTAAGGGGTCTTTAGAAAGGGCTATTCATCTGTCACTGCTCACTGAGACATGTACATTCCAGCATCATCACAGAGTTATCTCCTTCCTTCCGTCTCTCCCTCCCTCCCTCCCTTCCTCCCTTCCTTCCTTCTTTCTTTCCTCTCTTCCTGCTTGCCTTCTTTCCTGGCTTCCTGCCTATCTTTTCTGTCTCTCTCTATAGAGAGAGAGAGAGAGAGAGACGAAGTTTTGCTCTTGTCGCCCAGGCTAGAGTGCAATGGTGCAATCTCGGCTCACTGCAACCTCCGACTTGCGGGTTCAAGCAATTCTCCTCCCTCAGCCTCCTGAGTAGCTGGGATTACAGGCATGCACCACCACACTTGGCTAATTTTTGTATTATTAATAGAGGTGGGGTTTCACCATGTTGGCCAGGCTGGTCTTGAACTCCTAACCTCAGGTGATTCACTTGCCTCGGCCTCCCAAAGTGCTGGGATTACGGGCGTGAGCCACTGCACCCTGACAATAAACATTTTTAAATGAATGAGTAGATGCATTCATAGATTACAGAATGCTTTCATGTACAGCAATGAGTTATTTCACTGGATTTTCACAAATGAGGTGGTTCTCAGTGAGTCTCACTTTGCAGCCAAGGGGACAGAGACATAGGGGGTCACATGGGGTAGGATGAGGGTAGGATGAGGGTGGAGGCAGCCTCGGATGCACATCTCTGACTCCTAGTTCAGTGCTCCATTCTTTGCCCACAGCTCGCTCCAGCAAAGTGCTCCCATCTCTGTTTTCTAGGGCCCTGATGGGAGGGGCTTCCTGCCCACCAACTTTATTGATGGCCAAAAATGAGCAGGAGGCGCTGCATTGAGCCCACTGCCCGGTGCTTTAGTGCTCCCCTGCCCCCGCCCGGGGCTGCACTGCCATCGCCTTCCGAACCTGCCTAGTTCGGCAAAGCATCGATTGCGTGGTGCATTGGTTAAGATATTACATGTGGGGGTGTCGTTAATTCAAAGGCAATTAGGTGTTCGATATTTCTTATTCTGCCTGCCAGTAGGAATTAATAGAAAACCTTTCAATCAGCAACAACTGCAAAACAACTTCTGGCCCCAAAGATAATCAATATTAGCCAGCAGAGCCTTCTTCCGTCTTCAGGAGGCTATTCATTTCTGGTACTTTCAAAACCAGAAATGGACATTTCCATTTCCATCTTCTTCAGAAGCCCCTGCCCACACAGTTCTTTAGACACAGTCTTTAAAAAGACACAGTCATCTATACGGCTCTCTCGGGCCCTCCCTCCGCATGTCATGTTCCCAGTGCTAGGAGTATTCATAGAATAGCCTGCCCAGTGGGAAGCAGGTGAATGATGTTTGAGTTCTTTGGAACATTGGTCGCCACCTTCCCCTGAGCATCCCGACCAGAGTTGCTGGGGCCCATGATGGGAACCTAAGGATATAAGATGCTAGTCTTGCCACTAGGTAGTATGTCCTGGAAGTCCTCCAGAGCCAGTGAACGTGACATCATCCCAGGAGACCCTCTGGAGCACTTGATGGTGTCTTCCCTTCCCTCTGCTCTGCAGGCCCAGTCCCAGGGCTGGCCTCTGCCTCAGTTTCCCTGCTTGGCACGGTGCCTGACATCCTATCCAGCTCTTGCCAGCCCTCCCCCCTGGATGGGGCTGAGAGGAGGCCGTGTAGAAAGTTTATTGTTGAATTCTACTCCCTCTATCTCTTATCCCCTGACTTTTCCTGAGCTCACACCAATGTTCTGCTCTCAAGCCTGCAGGAATTATGAGATGGACTCTTGAATAATGTCCATCAATGGCCTGGGAAGGTTTTTCCTCTGCTATTAGGGGCAGTCGATCTCAGACCCCCACATATACAACAGGGTAAGGGGGACTCTAGGTCAATCAGGTCAGAGAGGAGATGCAGAGAATGATCTAGAACAGAGGCATCTTTTGCACCAGCTTCTCAGATATGTGGATTCATTGGAACCGACATCATTTATGTACTTTCTGTCTTTTTCCATCCTCTTGTGGAAACTCCACAGGGTGAATACCCAATACTTTGGGTTCATCCTAATGCTGGCCACATAGGCTGCTGTCTTGGAGACACCATGGGAGTTTTGAAAGCTGATGGAAAAATGACCATATAAGCACCTCTGCTGAAGCTCCTCACCTCCCCACTCCTTCCCTGACCCTTACATAAGGGCAGGGGACATACGGGGCTCAAAGAGTGTGAAGTCAGAGGTGAACCGTGAGGGTGTCCCTGGCCAGCTGAACCTGAGGGTGCTGGTGAAATTGGAGGAAGCCTGTGAATCCATCAGGGCACTGACAATTTTGGTTTGTGATAAGGTGGATTAGGGAGGGGTGTGGCTCAGCTCCGGCCAACACAGAAAGTGCTTCATTGGACTTTCACAACTGAGATAGGCCTCGGTGGGTCTCATTTTGCAGATGACTGATAAATAACCTGTTTAAGCAGAACCCAACAATGTAATATTGAATCTATGGCAGAGAATAAAATTTTAGGAGGCTAAAAATTGTGGTGAGAAAACATGAAAAAGCCAGCCCTTCTGTCACCTACACATTATACCCTCCCTCCCTCCCAACTGAACTCCCTGCTTTCAATTCCTCCAGGGAACCCAGCTCCTCCGCTCTCCCTGACATGGACCTAACCCTTACAAAAAAGACCCCCTCAAACCGCCATGTTACACTTGCCGAGGAGAGACCACCTCAAGATCATCCAGGCGGGAAATGACAGAGCTGTGATATAAGCCCAACCAAGTGTGATTCCCCGTTCCTGCCCCAACAGGGTCTCCCAAGAGATTTCAGATGAGCTCCACACCAATGTCCCGTAAGCACCCTGAGCATCTGTTGTCCATGACCCAACAGTTAATGAGCATTTAGGATAAACAAGGTGGCTGCCTCGGGCAGGGTGGCTTATCGGAGTAGCAATCATACAGGAGAGTAAATGCCCTAATTTTGTGATCTGTTTTCTTCTCCCAAGTCCCCACACTGACATTTCTTGGGCTTTAGGTCTGAGATTTACTTCTTCATTTATTAAAGGGAATAGGAGGTGATGGCTGTGATTATGTGGTTGTGTTTTCAATGAAACATGCTTTTTAATGACTGTGCTGACACAGTCAGACACACGGACACTCCGCTTGTCTCTGTGGGTGGAGAGACAATGCATGTTGCGTCTCTGCAGAGTTTTACTCATGTCGGCATGACAACAACAGTGGGAGCCGTGTTGCACGGGATGCCTGATGTCCCTCTAGGTCATGGCGCCATCTCAGCAGCTGGATGGGCTGACTGCTCCATGGGGGGGCTTCCCATCTCTGGTGAATGTTCTTTGCAAAGGTGGGGCTGGCATGGACTGGTAGGCCCCTAACTCCTACTAGATTCCAATCCTTCCTGCTTCTGGCTCCCGAAGCCTCCTCCTGACAATCCATTTCCTTTATAGCAGCCTCATATTTTTTGACCAGGAAGTGACCATCATCCATCCATCCATCCATCCATCCATCCATCCATCCATCCATCCACCCACCCATCCATTGATCCATTCATCCATTGATCCATCCATCCATCCATCCATCCATCCATCCATCCATCCATCCACCAGCATTCATTATCTATTCTCCATTGCCCCAGGATAAGACCCAGACTCCCAAAAACATCCTTAGGATGATGTTGTTATAAGCAATAGAAGGTCTCAACTCAAACTAATCTAAGACTTAAGGACATTTGTCATCTCACAGCCCAGAAATCCTGGCAGGTCATGCTCCAGACAGGATGTCAAAGCTCTGACTTCACTTCTCCTGGATCCCATGAGCTCTGCCCATTGGCTGCATCTTCAGGGTGGAGGTGAGGTGCAGCTGCTCTGGGCATCACAGCTAGACACAAACATGACAGTATCCCAAGGGAAAAGAGGGGCTCTCTCTCTCTTCCACTGTCTCCTTCCTGCAGATGGTGGAGGTGGGTGGGGCAGGAGATGGCTTTAGGCTGTGGATTTTCTAATCCCCAGGAGAAGCTGATCATGAAGAGT
>NW_021159999.1:0-25408 GCF_000001405.40 Homo sapiens | reverse complement strand
CCATATTGAGTCTTTCAATTCATGAACATAGTATATCTCTCCATTCAGGTCTTCTTTGATTTCTTTCATTGGTGTTTTTCAGTTTCAGCATAATGACATTGTACATGTTTTGTTAAATTTATACCTAAGCATTTTACAGGTTTTGGTGCTATGGTAAATGGTATTGTTTCCTTTCTAATTTCAATTTCAAAGGATTCATTTCTGGTCCACAAAATTATAATTACTTCTTTTTATATTGACCTTGTATCTTATGACATCGCTACACTTGGTTTTTTGGGTTTTTTAGAGATGGGGTCACTGTTGCCCAGGCTGGAGTACAGTGGTGCAATCATAGCTCACTGCAGCCTCAAACTCCTGGAGTTCCCACTTCAGTCTCTCAAGTAGCTGGTATTACAGGCATGAGCCACTGCACTTGACAAAATGAGCTCTGTCTAAGAAAGCTGAGTCTGGAGCAACAGACCCAGAGTAAGCCAGTCTCAAAGGTGACCAGAAACAGTGTGCTACTTTTATTATTATTATTAGAGAAAGGGTCTTACTTTATTGCCCAGACTGGTCTCAAACACCTGAGCTCAAATGATCTTCCCACACCAGCCTGTTGAGTAGCTGAGACTACAGGTGCACACCACCATGCCTGGCACACTAATATTAGTTCTAATAACTTTTTCATAGATTTTTTGAGATTTTCTATATAGATAATCATATTGAATGGAAATAGAAGCTGTTTCATTTCTTCCTCTCCAATTTGTATATCTTTTATTTCTTTTTCTGGCCTTATTCCACTGGCTAGGCTTTCCAGTACAATAATGACACTGCATACCTTTGCTTTCTTTCTGATCTTGGAAAATATTTAGTATTTCATTATTAATTAGATATTAGCTGCAGGTTTTTTGTAGATGCCTTTTATGAGGTTGAAGAAACTCCTTTCTCTTACTGGTTTGCTGAGAGGTTTTTTTCATGAGTAGATGTTGAATTTTGTCAAATGCTTTTTTCAATATCTATTAAGATGATCATATGGTTTTTCTTTTTTAATCTGTTGGTATGATGAATTACATTAATTCCTTTTTTTTTTTTGAGACAGGGTCTCTCTCTCTCTCTCTGTCACCCAGTCTGGAGTGCAATGGCACAAACACAGCTCACTGCAGCCTCAACCTCCTCAGCTCAAGCAATCCTCCTGCTTCAGCCTCCCATATAGCCAGGACCATGGGTGTGCTCCCCCACCCAGCTAATTTTTTTAATTTTTTGTAGAGATAGGGGTCTCACTTTGTTGCCCAGGCTAGTCTCCAACTCCTGGTCTCAAGTGATCCTCCCACCTTAACCCCTAAAAGTGCTGGGGTTATAGCCACCATACCTGGTCTGATTATTGTTATTATTATTATTATTATTATTATTATTATTATTATTATTATTATTGAGACAGGGTCTCGTTCTGTTGCCCAGGCTAGAGTGCAGTGGCTCACTACGGCCTCAACCTCCTCGGGCTCAGGTGATCCTCTCACCTCAGCCTCCCGAGTAACTGGGATTACAAGTGTGCATCACCATGCCCATCTAATTTTTTTTATTTTTCATAGAGACACGGTTTTGCCTGTTGCCCAGACTGGTCTCCAACTCCTGGGTTCAAGTGATCCACCCACCTTGGCCTCCCAGTGCTGGAATTACAGATGCGAGCCACTGCACCCAGCCCTGATTGTTTTTTGAATGTTGAACCAGACTTGCATCCTTGCATAAACCTCATTGGTCAGATGTGTTATCCTTTTCATATATTGCTGGATTTGATTTGCTGGTATTTTATTGAGGATTTACGTGTCTTTGCTCATGGGGAATATTGCTCTATAGCTTTCTTTTTCTTTTTTTTTTTTTTTTTTTTTTTGCAATGTCTGGTTTTGATATCAATGTAATGTTGGCCTCATAAAAAGGGTTGGTAATTGTTCCCTCCTCTTCCATTTTCTGGAAGAGATAGTGTAGAGTTGGCATTAATTCTTTCTTAAGTATTGGTAGAATTCACAAGGAAAGTCGTCTAGGCCCAGAGTTTGTATTGTTGTTAGGTTTTTAACAACAAATTTAATTTCTTTAATTTATATGGTACCATCTATTTTTTCTTGAATGAGCTTTGGTAACTGTCTTTCAAGGAATTTGCCCATTTTTTCTAAGTCGTAAAATGTGGGAACATAAAATTGTTTGTAACATTCTTTTTGTTTATTTCTTTAGAGACAAGGTCTCTCTCTGTCATCCAGGCTGGAGTGCAGTGGTGCGATCATAGCTCACTGCAGACTCTAACTCCTGGGCTTAAGCAATCCTCCCACCTCAGCCTACCAAGTGGCTGGGACTATAGGCCCACACAATCATGCCCAGCTATTTGTCTGTTGGCTTGGTTTTTGTAGGAAATCCTCTTGCAGTGTTCTCTATCTCATCATCTACCTAATTACAGAAACCAGAAACCAGAAACCTCAAACCCTCACCCCCAAATCTAGTCTGTCCCTACGTTAGTTGATGTGATCACTTTACACTGTTTATCCCATCAGACTTTCCTCCAGAAGCTGCCATCACCACCAGCACCAGCGCCAGCACCAGCTCCTTAATGCACATCATTGCCTACATGATTAAGGTGGCTTCTAACTACTCTGCCCACCTTGCTCCAGCAACTCTCCTATCTACTCTATGGAGGGGAGCTGGAATGAACCTTCCAAAAGTCACAAACCTGACTGCATCATCCCCCTGCTTAAAACTCTCCAAATATTTTCTATCGTTTTATTGTTTTAATACCAACTTTCTTTTTTTTTTTTTTTTCTTTTTCTTTGAGACAGGGTCTTGCTCTGTCACCCAGGCTGGAGTACAGTGGTGCGATCACAGCTCACTGTAGCCTCTAACTCCCAGGATCAAGTAATCCTCCTGCCTTAGCTTCCTGAGTAGCTGGGATGACAGGCACAACCACCAAGCCCAGCTAATTAAAAAAAATTTTTTTTGTAGAGACAGGGTCTTGCTATGTTTCCAGGCTGGTCTCAAACTCCTGGCCTCCCAAGTGATCCTCCTGCTTTGTCCTCTCAGGGCACTGGGATTACAGGTATGAATCACCACGCCCAGCCTATAATGTTCTGTATTAACCTTTAAATATCTGTAGGATCTGTAATGATATCCCCTCTTTCATTTCTGATATTGGTAATTTGTGTCTCTTTTTTTCTTGATCAGTCTGATCAGAGCCTTGTCAATTATATTAATCTTTTCATAGAAGCAACTTTGGTTTCCTTGATTATGTTTTCCTATTGCTTTTCCATTTTCTATTTCATGGACTTCTGCTCTTGTCTTTAGTGTTTCCTTCCACCTGTTTCCTTTAAGGTTGTTTTTTGTTTTTTATTTTTGAGACAAAGTCTCGCTCTGCCACCCAGGCTGGAGTGCAACAGCACAATCTCGGTTCACGGCAACCTCCGCTTCCCAGGTTCAAGCAATTCTCCTACCTCAGCCTCCCCAGTAGCTGGGATTACAGGCATGCACTGCCACCACACCCAGCTAATTTTTTGTATTGGTAGAGACAGGGTTTCACCATGTTTGCATGGCTGGTCTCGAACTCCTGACCTCAAGTGATCTGCCCGCCTCGGCTTCCCAAAGTGCTGGGATTGCAGAAGTCAGCCACCGCGCCCAGCCTGCTTTAAGTTTAATTTGTTTCTTTTTCTAGTTTCTAAAGATGGAAGCATAGATCATTGATTTCCTTTTATTAATATAAGCATTTAATGCTATAAATTTTCCCTTAAACATTGCTTTAGCTATATCACACAAAGTCAATATGTTCTGTTCAGACATGTTATAAGAAGTCAGTATAGTTTATTTTGGGCAAAAAACTTTGAAATTCCTATGTAGCTTATTCATAATAGGCATTTTCCATGAAGTTGTCGAAGACCCCCAGAATCCCACTTTACAATCCCAGTTTAATTTTTTAGTCATCTATTGATCCATTTGACAAACATTGTGATGCTTAGTGTATATAAAGCACTATGCTAGTCTGGTCAGAGAGATGGCTATTCATCAAACTATCACATAAATAAATATACGATGCTGTGAGGCAGAGGTTAAGGAGGATGCAGCATGGGTCAGCCTCTGGAGGCTGAGGAAGAGCTAGCGCAGTGCAGAGCACCAGCACGGCAGTGGGACTGGCAAGCGTAGAGCCCTTGACAGAAGCAGGACCTTCAAGGGGTTGCATGAGGAAGAGGAGGGGCCTTCTGGCCTGTGATGAAGCTGGAGGGGTCAGCAGTGGCCAAGCTGTGCAGGTTTCTGCAAGTCAGGTAGGAAAAGTTGATACCGGCCAGGTGCAGTGGCTCACACCTGTAATCCCAGCACTTTGAGAGGCCGAGGCAGGAGGATCACTTGGGGCCAGGAGTTAGAGACCAGCCTGGGCAACACAGCAAGACCCCATCTCTACTGAGAAATACAAAAATTAGCCAGGCATGGTGGCACACACCTGTGCTCCTGGCTACTCGGGAGGCTAAGGCAGGAGGATCACTGGAGCCCTGGAGCTCGAGGCAGCGGTGAGATGTGATTGCGCCACTGCACTCCAGCTTGAGTGACAGAGCAAGACCCTGTCTCAAAAGAAAAAATAATGATAAGGATAAAAAAGAAAGTTAGTATTAATACAAAGAACAATAGGCAATATTTGAAGAGTTTTAAGCAAAGGGATGAGGCAATGGCGTTTGTATTTTAGAAAGGTCACTGCAGCTTCCCTCCGTAGAGGCAGAGGTGCCAGAGCACATGTGGGCAAAGTAGTTAGAAGTCACTGTATTTTTTTTTTTTTTTTGAGACAGAGTCTCACTCTGTTGCCCAGGCTGGAGTGCAACGTTGTGATCTCAGCTCACTGCAACCTCCACCTCCTGGGTTCAAGCAGTTCTCCCTGCCTCAGCCTCCTGAGTAACTGGGATTACAGGTGCCCACCACTATGCCCGGCTAATTTTTGTCATTGTTGGGTTTTTGTTTTTGTTTTTTGTTTTTGAGATGGAGTTTTTGCTCTTCACCCAGGTTGGAGTGCAATGGTTCAATCTCGGCTCACTACAACCTCTGCCTCCTGGGTTCAAGCAATTCTCCTGCTTCAGCCTCCCTAGTAGCTGGGATTATAGGTGCTCACCACCAGGCCCAGCTAATTTTTTTTTTTTCTGTATTTTTAGTAGAGACGGGGTTTCAGCATGTTGGCCAGGCTGGTCTCAAACTCCTGACCTTAGGTGATCCACCCACCTCGGCCTCCCAAAGTGCTGGGATTACAGGTATGAGCCACCGCACCTGGCCTAATTTTGTATTTTTAATAGAGATGGGGTTTCGCCATGTTGGCCAGGCTGGTCTCAAACTCCTGACCTCAGGCAGTCCACCCACCTCAGCCTCCCAAAGTGCTGGGATTACAGGTGTGAGCCACCGCGCCCAGCCAGAAGCCACTTTAATCATGTAAGCAATGATGTGGATTAAGAAGCTGGCACTGGTGTTGGTGGTGATGGCAGCTGCTCTAGGAAAGTCGATGGAAAAACCAGTGTAAAGTGGTCACATCAACTATCATGGGGCAGACTAGATTTGGGGGCGAGGGTTGAGGAACGTTAGATTTCTAGTTTGTGTAATCAAGTACATGATGAGATAAGAAGACTGCAAGAGGACTTCCTTTTTCCTGTGGTTGTGTGTGTGCAGATTTTTTTGGTTGTTGTTAAGGCATGAAGATGTGCAAACAGGAAGAATCTCATTTTTTTTACCTAATTCCTTCATTCGAGTTATTTATATGTGTATTTCCTCAATTAGCTTATGAGCTCTTTCAGTCCAGGAAACACTTTTTATTTTCAAATATAACCCGAGAGCTTAGCTCATAGGTTTGTTTGTTTGTTTAATAGCATGGCTTTCCTTAAATTAAAAAAACAGAGAAAAAACGTTTTAAATAAAATTAAGCACAGCAACATAAAAAACACTTTCAATATCAGTAAAACACAGGACAAGATTCAAGGAAATCCATGTAGAGGCATTATTAGTATTTTTGCTAACTTGGACTATCAAAGCTTAATCTGATCTTGACCTTATTTTTCAACTATATAATAATGCCTTAAAAATATTCAGAATCTCTATTCTAAAGTCAGAACTAATTTTTAGGATTGAAAAAAAAAAAAATGGGGCCGGGCACAGTGGCTCATGCCTGTAATCCCAACACTTTGGAAGGCCGAGGTGGGATCACGAGGTCAGGAGTTCGAGACCAGCCTGGCCAATGTAGTGAAACCTCGTCTCTACTAAAAATATACAAAATTAGCTGGGCGTGGTGGCGGGCACCTGTAATCCCAGCTGCTCAGGAGGCTGAGGCAGGAGAACTGCTTGAACCTGGGAGGCAGACGTTGCAGTGAGCCAAGATGGTGCCATTGCATTCCAGCCTGGGCGACAGTGTGAGACTCCATCTCAAAACAAAAAAAAGAAAAAAAAGTTTATATGTTGTGTTTTTTGCTTCTTGTTGTTGTTGCTGTTATTATTATTATTATATTTTTAGACAGAGTTTTGCTCTTGCTGCCCAGGCTGGAGTGCAATGGCGCGATATCGGCTCACTGCAACCTCCACCTCCTGGGTTCACGCAATTCTCCTGCCTCAGCCTCCCAAGTAGCTGGGATTACAAGCATGCACCACCATGCCCAGCTATTTTTCTATTTTTAGTAGAGATGGGGTTTTACCATGTTGGTCAGGCTGGTCTCAAACTCCTGACCTCAAAGGCTCCACCCACCTCAGCCTCCCAAAGTGCTGGGATTACAGGTGTGAGCCACTGCACCCACTGTTTTTTTAAGAGACAGGTTCTCACTATGTTGCCCAGGATGAGTTCCTGGCCTCAACTCATCCTCCTGCCTTGGCCTCCCAAAGTGCTAGGATGGGATTACAGGCATGAGCCACTGTGTCCAGCCAATATGTTGCGTTTTAATTTTCATTCAATTCCAATATGTTGTAATTTCCGTTGCCGTTAACCATTCCCCTGTGGCCCTGGGCAGACAAGACAAGCAGGGGCTGGGGGACACATAGGCGGGGACTCTGGGATTCTGCACTGCCCCAGGCCAATCCCCAGAGAGCGCCTCGAAGGAGAGAGGCTGTATCAGAGTTCCCAGGCCTTCCTGAATGCCTTCCCAGCACAGACTCTCTCAGGCCATCCCGCCTGGGGTGGCATTAGGGCTGCAGTCTTCCTGATGCTGGGCCCCTCTTAGCACCCAGGGCCCACTTCACCCATGCTCCAAGGGGGACGGGTCCTTCCCTGGGTAGCTCTGTGTCTACTGGCCTCACTGCTGGCCAGGGAGAGTGGGTTAGCACCTCCTAGTCTTGATGTCCCTGAGCGCACGGCACTCATTTTGGAGTAGGGAGCATTAAGATTCCTTATCCAAGGTCACCCAGCCAGGAGGGTCTGGTGTCAGAGCAGAAGTGGGACAGGAGACTTCCGGAGGTGTCCCCAGGACTCGGGAAGGCTTACTGCAGGAAGCAGTGCTATAGGGAGCCAGGGTCTGGTGTGTGGCGCCAGCATCACCCCGCTGCTCTCACTCTCACTTTCCTTATGGAACCTGAGGGGGCATCTGTGTTTCTGAACCAAGAGGCAAGGACATGTTTGAGAAGAAATGCCAAGTCCTGAACCACAGCTTCACCTCACAGCCAGCTGTGACCCTGGCATGGCTGCTGGCTCTGCTCATGGGGCAAGGCGGGCAGAGGATGACCCAGAGCCCCTGCCTCACCGTGCTCACCTTGGACCCCTCCTGTTACTCCTGGGACGAAAAAGGGAAGCGAGGGAGAGAGTGAGGGCAGTGGGCAGGTGTGTGGGACCTGCCTTGGACACTGAGCTCGCCCAGGGTGCCGCTCCCAGGAGGCTCTGCCCTGCCCTGCGGGAGGGTGCCTTTTCCACGAGTCCCCACTGGCCACAGGTGCCCAGCCCAGGCCCTGGCAGGAGGCAGTGGCTGGCAGGGCCCCAGCCCAAGTGCCTCTGTCGCACTCACCACCCCCGCACACTAGGCCCCTGATGCAGCGTCCTCCCCCAGCCCCTTTGTGCTGATGGCCCCCAAGCTTCTCCAAGATGCAGAACCTGCTAGTGGCATCGTGTTCTTGTACCAAATTAGCCACACTTAAGTGCCCGCTGCCTGAGCCCCCTGCAGAAGCTGACTCACTCACTTGAGGCCACTCGAAATGCACAGTTCCCCGGAAGCCCTCGCCTTCCACCCAAGGCTCTGCCGAGGGCCTGACTTCAGCAGGAGCTCATTTTAAGGGGCTAGGGGCAGAGAGTGGGGGCTCCAGCCATTTAAGGAGGCAGCTGTGCCCGCAGCTTCGCTGCAGCTCTGCGGGGGCAGCTCAGTCATCTGCCGTAAGAGCAGCCCTGTGCAAGAGGAGACAGCAGCAGATCTAAACCTCAGGCTGTCCAAATCAGGCCCCAGGAGAGAGGAAGCCTCAGAGTCTTCCTCCTGAGTCCTCCCGTTGGCCTCTCTGGGTGGCTTGAGCAAGGTGAACCCAGGGGGCTCAAGTCCTGGGGGAAACAGAGGGGCTCCAGGTCCCAGGGTACAGCCCGCAAAGCCCTGGCTTGGTGTAGCTGCTGAACGCCTTGGGCAGTCACCTGCTCCTCCAGGAGACTGAGTTTCATGGTAAACCAGGTCTCTGCATTCCCCTGAGCCCCCACCAGGACTGACCCCAGGGCAGAGATGCAGAAGCCCAGAGAACCCCCGCTGCATCTCCCCCACCAGCCCACCTCCCAGTGTGTCCCCCACCAGCCACACCAGCCCACCTCCCGCTGTGTCCCCCACCAGCCCACCTCTCGGTGTGTCCCCCACCAACCCGACTCGCCACACCTCCTCCTGGTGCTCCTGCTGAGACCCGTGCTGTCCCTATCCCACCAAGAACCCCCAATGTCACTGACGGAGCAGCAGAAGGCCTGCTGGTTGGGGCCAATCCAGTGCGGGGGTGAAACTCTAAGAAGGCAGGTCAAGGGGCTTTCAGATGAGCTCTGCCCGGGTTCAGTCCCTCCTACCCCACTGCTCTCTGGCTGTCTGACCTCAGGCAAGTCTCTGACCCTCTCTGAGCCTTGGTTTTCTCATATAAACCTGGGGATAATCATTCCTGCGTCACTGCATCTGAAAGATCGGCCCAGTGTTTGGTACGCAGCAAAGTCTGTGGACACCTGTTGAACAATTGAACAAAAGAATGAATGAGTGGGCCAGGCATGGTGACTCAAGCCTGTAATCCTGAAAGTGAGTGAAAAATGAGTGAATGAGTGAGTGAAAAATGAGTGAGTGAGTGAATGAGTGAATGAATGACTGAAAGGATAAGTGAATGAATGAGTCAATGAATGACTGAAAGGATGAGTGAATGAGTGAATGAATGACTGAAAGGATGAATGAATGAGTGGATGAATGACTGAAAGGATGAATGAATGAATGGGCGAATGAATGACTGAAAGGATGAATGAGTGAATGAATGAATGTGTGAGTGACTAAATGAGTGAGTGAATGAGTGCCTGCTGACAGCACTCTCAAAGCTCCATGCCATGGGGCTGGTGGTTTCAGCTTCTTGGGAAGCTCCTTGGGGAAGGGACCCCAGATAGGGTGCGCTGCTGTGCAAAGAGCACTGGAATGAGAGTCCAGAGACACTGGCATCAGCCCAGCATGGTATTTTCCCACCCGTGACTGCTGCCCTCTCTCAGCCATAGTGACCTCTCCTGATGGCCGCAAACAGTAATTCCTGGCTCACTGGATAGCAGGGAGGTGGTAAAAGTCAAGTTCTCTGCCAAGGGAGCCTGGTCTGCGGCATTATCACCTCTCTAACCACCACAATGGCGCTGATTCCTATAAACTCTGCTAAAGTCTGTGTTTTGGCCCAGCCACAGTGGCTCATGCCTATAATCCCAGTGCTTTGAGAGGCTGAGGCAGGAGGATGACTTGAACCCAGGAGTTCGAGACCAGCATGGGCAACATGGTAGGAACCCTGTCTCTACCAAAAAAAAAAAAATAATTAATTAATTAATTAGCTGAACATGGTGGCTCACGCCTGTGGTCCCAGCTACTTGGGAGGCTGAGGCAGGAGGATCTCTTGAACCTGGGAAGTTGAGGCAGCAGTGAGCTGTGATTGCGCCACTGCACTCCAGCCTGGCTGACAGAGTGATACCCTCTCAAAAATACAACAAAATCTGTGTTTTGTTAAATTAAAAAGTTATACATAAACGGAAGACCCCACCACCCCCTTTGGGGGACACCTCCAGAGGGAAGGTAGGACCGTCAGCCTTCAAGCTCCAGGGTCAGGGCCCCACCTGTTGAGTCCTTGGTGAACACCTGCCCGAAGCTGCAAGCCCCATTCTGAGGGAACAGAAGGACAGGAGTCAGCCTTGGGAAGAGGCGGGAGAAGTGCTGTGAGCAGTGGCCCTGCTTCCAGCCACTCGGACGACTGGGAAGTCCAGGCCACGCTCCACACCCAGAACCCGGCCCCACAAAGCCGCCCAACAGGAGCCGACGCAGGGACCAAGGGTCAAGAGCCGATGGCAGCAAGGATGGAAGTAATCTCAAGGCCTGGGACCTGCCGGGACCCGTGCTCAGCCCCCAGAAGGCTCCCGGGGCCTCCACAGTTGGGAAGTGGGGCAAGAGCAGGTGGCTCGGAGCTGAACTGGCTGAAATTCTGCCCTGGAACATGCAGTTCTTTCTCTGCCACGAGCTTCTCCATGCTGGGCACTGTGCCGGCCCCTTCACGGGTAAAGGGGAGACCCACGAGCCACCGGCAGCTTTGTCACCAGGACCCAGCATCCGCTCTCAGAGAGGCCTCAGCATTTACCGTCAGGACACAGGGGCTGGAACCAGGGCCCAGAGCTGCACCATCCACCATGGGGCTGCTGGCCTCGCTGGCCCCGGAGTGCTCGCAGGTGGCCGGCTCTTAAGGGGACCATGTGCCTATGAAATACAGCCCTGTCCCAAAGACTCAACATGAAAAGTGATTGCAGGAGGCATTGTTCTGTGTTGATTACCTGTTGAGATGACTGCATTTGGAGTACGTTGAGTTCAAAGCTCATTATTGAAACTAATGGCACCTGTCCCGTTTTCCCTTTGTAGATGGTTGTTACAAAATTGAAACTTTGCTGTGTGGCTCACACGCATTCTGGTTCCTGTACAGCGCCGGTCTGGAACCCGGCTGCGGGGAGGTGGGAGGTGGACGGTGGGATGGAGAGGCGCATGGTAGGACGGAGAGGCCCAGGGCCTTGGGGACACACTGGGGAGGGCACTAGCCACAGGGAGCCCAGCAGGGGGGCGTGTGGCTGCGAGGAGGAGCCCCTATCCCACTCTGCTCAGTGCCCTGGGCCTCACCCGGGGTCTCACCAAGTCTCCCTGCTCCGGACTTGGCCTTCTCGGCCTCTGAGCAAGACCTTCGGGTCCTTACTCCCACCACGCGCCTGGGTTGGACCTGCTCCATCAGGCCCTGCTTTGCACCAGATGGAAGGAGGGAGGGAGCAGGAGAGCCCGTCCTCCCATGGCAGGGCCACCTCGGCCACCCCACCAGCAGCTGCTTCAAGACCAGCAGTGCCACCCCCCTCTCAGCTGCCACCCCCTTCAGACTGCCAGGAAAAATGAATAAGCAATTAGCTATCCCTCCCAGCCACCCTGCGCCGGACGCCCACTCCCTCGCCTGCCTTTCCGCACCTCCTTGCTCTCTTTTCACCTCCCTCTCTCTCCCTCTTCCTCTCTCTCTCCCTCTTCCTCTCTCTCTCTCTCTCTTGCTCCCAACCTCCCTCCACCACTCTCAATTTCTGCCTCTCTCTCTCTGTTGCTTTCTCTCTGTCCTCTCTCATCCCCGCAATGGTCTCCCGCCCTCTCTGCCTCTCCACTCTCCCTCTGTCTCTGTATCTCCCTCTGTGTCTGTCTCTCTGTCTGAGTGTATGTGTCTCCCTCCCTGTCATCTCTCTCTCTCCCTCTCTCTCTGTCCTCTCTCGCCCTGCCCAGTGGTCTGCCCCCTCTCTGTCCCTCCACTCTCCTTCTGTCTCTCCCTCCCTCCACCCCGCACTGCAGCGCCTAATAGCACCGGCGGAGTGGGAAGCGGAGCCGCGCCGCACACAGTCACAAATCTTCCATATTACTCCCTCTCCTTTATTTACACCGGGCACACAGTAGCAATTCAATCTGAAAAAGTACCGTGTTTTCGGAGGCGCGCAGCCCAAGAAATTGATGTTTGTGTTAATCGGTCTTGTAGGAGCCTGCGGGGCTCAGAGAGGTGTGACGCAGGGATTTCTTCTATTGATTAATTGAATTCCGGGCAGGGAGGATGGGAAGAAAAATCAAACCCTCCAAGTACCTGGAAGCTTTGGAGCTAGGTCAGGCGCCCTGCCAACCCTTGCCCAGCCTGAGGTGTGGGGGGTCCCCTGGGCTCTGAGCCCCCATAATGTCCTCTTAGCTCAGCCTCAAACCTGGTCGGGGGTCAGGACTCCAGCTCCAAGGCCGGCTGTGGCTGGCTCGAGGGGGACTTTGGGGTCACCCCTCTCCTGTCTGGAAAGGCTGGAGACAACCCTGCCTCTAGCCCCCTCCCACTGCCCACCCAGCAGGTCAGAAGCTCCAGGCCTCCGTCCTGAGGACGCTGTGTCCCCCACACCCAGCGTATCCCGAGTTTGGGCTCTGGACGTGAGCAGCAGCATGTGGGCTCAGAGCCCCTTGTCGGCTTCCCTGAGCCTCCGCCCTGCCCCCCACCATGGAAAGTCTTTGGGCGCTGGCCTGGAGCCACGTGTCTGCTGGCTCAGCCGGTGGAAATGAGGCAGCCACGTGGGTATGGGAGCCAGCGTGTCCTCCCAGACGGCCACCCCAAGCTTCCATAATCCAAGACCCAGACTCTGCAGACAGCTGGAGGAGCGTCTGTGACCTCCCCGGGGACCTGGGAGGACCAGGAGGCAGCAGGCAAGAAGGAGCTGTGGACCCACAGGAGGGACAGGACAAACACTCGGGGTCAGAAGGCTCTGCATTTGGATGGCACCTAAAAGGTGACCTCAGAAACTGACACTGCCATTCACGGTTCTCATTAAGGGGGGTGGGACAAACAGACAGCGTTCATCAGGCCCATTTTATGGATGGGAACACTGAGGCTCTGACAAGGGATCGCCCAGCTGGAGAAAGATGGAGCCAGGACTTGCTACCAGGCCTCAGGACCCCAGGGCAGGTCCTCCGTTCCAAGTTTCCTGGTCCTCAGGAGTCCAAGGACCTGGGCCTGGCCACGATCCTCGTCACCCAGGGGGGTGGTTGGGAGGTGCAAGGTGGACTGGCTCCAGCGCATCCTGAGGGGGCTGGCCAACTGACCACTTTCCAGATGGCTGAAGCTTTGCACATCTGGGAACGAGGGCACTTGCCGGATAGGTGCATCAGGAAAACCATCAAATCACTCCTCCCTCTCCAGGCAGAGAGCCCCGGCGCCATCTTCCAGGAGGCATTCACGTTAGAACAATCAACATGTACAAATGCATCCCTTGCCTGTCCTACAGCATCGTCACCACCAACCAAACACCTGCTGGGTGCCAGTGACTATGTTCTCAGTATCTGCGACCCTATCCCAGAAGCTCTGTCCCATCCCACGGAGGCAGAAACTGGGAACAGGGACTAACTTCATTTTTTTTTTTTTAAAGACAGAGTTTTGCCCTTTCCCCCAGGCTAGAGTGCAGTGGCACAATCTTGGCACACTGCAACCTCCACCTTCCGGTTTCAAGTGATTCTCCTGCCTCAGCCTCCTGAGTAGCTGGGATTACAGGTGCCTGCCACCACGCCCAGCTGATTTTTGTATTTTTAGTAGACACGAGGTTTCACCATGTTGGCCAGGCTGGTCTTGAACTCCTGACTTCGTGATCCGCCCGCCTCAGCCTCCCAAAGTGCCAGGATTACAGGCATGAGCCACTGCACCCGGCCAAACCAACCTCATTTCAGTAGTGGGAAGTCGGGGTTCCTCCACAGGCAGAGGTCGGCTCCCCGGCCTTTTCTTAGGCTGCCGATAGATGGCAGGACCTGCATCTCGCTGTTTTCCCCGCAGTCCTGTGACGGTGGGGCAGAAAGCACTGGGGCAGAAGCAGAAGGGATTCCTGCCCTGCCTGGGCCTCTCGCTCCCAGGCCTGCTCTGGGTGTCAGGCACATTGGCCCCATTACCTGACCTCAGCATGCCCATCTGTAAAATGGGTCTGAAGAGAAGCCTCAGCAGTGCCCACCACCCAGAACACTGTGCTAGGAAGCAGGTTTCTGGCACCATTCAGGTGTGATCTTGTCCAGAGCAAACGTGACCTCCATGCCCCTTGATGGAATGCACTGGAAAAGCTCAGGGAGCCCCTGGCTTGCCTGCTTTTTTGGGGGCAGGGGGGCTAGGTCAGGGGGAACAGAGGCATGGGGATCCAGGGTCCTGTCTGCCTTGGATGCTCGTGGGCTGCTGCCCTGGGCTAGCTCCCCTCGTGCTCACTGTGACCCCCTCAGAAGGACTTCCCATGACACCGGAGAGCTGAGCCCTGGGCGAGGCGCCCAGCCCCTCAGACGCCAAAGGAAGTGGATTTTTAAGGATGAGCTTTTTAAAACTGCTAATTGGGTGACTCTTGCCCCATTTCCTTGCACAAGCTCACACACACACTTGCATATCTTGCCGATTTTCCAACAAACAAAGCATAATTTGTGTTACTGCAACAGAATGTCCTGTTTAGGCTGACAGGAGCCAACGGGGGTGACCCTGAACCATCCTACCACGAAACGCACTTCCAGGAAGAGTTCATCGGACCAACACGCAACCCGCAGCCGGAAAGCGTCCAAGAGCGCAGAGCAGAGCCTCAAAGGGCAGCCAACCCCCAGCCCCAGCCACGCCATGACCGCACCTGGCCCGGGGCCACTGTCCCAGCGCCCCCCCTCCCAGGCCTCACCCTTCAAACCACCCAACACACACACCCTCAAGACCACCACCAAGGAAAAAGTGAAAGTTCAACTGCAAATGTAAATTATGTAGCCCAAGACAAAACTAAAGGACAAAGATGATCTTGGGAAAACATTCGGAATCCACGCAATTGAAAAAGATTTTATATTATTAATATAAAGAGCTCCTGCAAATGCGTTTAAGAAAGACGGCCATCCCATTAGGAAAAAAAACAGGCTATGGCCAGGATCACCAACTCACACAATGCAGCCAACAAGTCCGTCAAATGTGTGACTGCACAAAGCTCCAAATGTAACAATTAAAAGGACGAAGACATCTCTTTACACCTACTAAATTGGCAATGATTTTTATGTTAATGACACGGAGGGAAAAGGCCGTCAGTTTCCCCACTACCATTCTAGAAGGAAATACAGTAGCAATTTTTACCCACACACAAAACATCTGACACATGGGCAGCCCCTCGGCCCAGGAATTTTACTTCGTGCCTCCCTGATCAGAGGAATGGGCGAGGGTGTTTGTCTAATGTGGGGGTTTCCAAGGCAGAGACCTTCAAACAACTCTTCAGTGGGAGGGGCACAGCCAGGTGCAGTCTGCACACTTTCTCTTGTTTTATAAAATGTAACACTTCGTGGTTACTGCTTTTTTTCTCTTTTTTCAGGGACGGGAGGTCTAGCTCTATTGCTCAGTCTCCCATCCCAACCTCGGGAGTAGCTGGGACCACAGGCGCCAGCAACCATGCCCAGCTCATTTTTTTTTAATGTTTTGTAGAGACAGGGGTCTCTCCGTGTGACCCAGGCTGTACTCAAACTCCTGGGCTGAGGGATCCTCCTGCCTAGGCCTCCCAAAGTGCTGGGATCACAGGCTAAGACACACTACACACACCACAAACCACACACCACTGAGTCACATGGCAGAAGATCTCATGAAAGGGTGTGATGGAGAAAATAGTGAGGGGGGGCCCAGTGGCAGAAACACCCACATGCCCTCGAACACGTGTGCACACGCCACACACACCACACACACCACACATACCACACACACCACACACACCACCCCTCACCATACACACCACACACGCCACACACACACCACACACACCACACACACCACCCCTCACCATACACACCACACACACGCCACACACACACCACACACACCACACACACCACCCCTCACCATACACACCACACACACGCCACACACACACCACACACACCACACACACCACCCCTCACCATACACACCACACACACGCCACACACACCACACACACCACACACACCACCCCTTACCATACACACCACACACACGCCACACACACACCACACACACCACACATACCACACCTCATCATACACACCACACACGCCACACACACACCACACACACCACCCCTCGCCATACACACCACACACATGCCACAACACACCACACACACCACACACACCACCCCTCACCATACACGCCACACACGCCACACACACACCACACACACCACACACACCACCCCTCACCATACACACCACACACACGCCACACACACACCACACACACCACACACACCACCCCTCACCATACACACCACACACACGCCACACACACACCACACACACCACACATACCACACCTCATCATACACACCACACACGCCACACACACACCACACACACCACCCCTCACCATACACACCACACACACGCCACACACACCACACACACCACACACACCACCCCTCACCATACACACCACACACACGCCACACACACACCACACACACCACACTTCACCATACACACCACACACGCCACACACACACCACACACACCACACCTCATCATACACACCACACACACGCCACACACACACCACACACACCACACCTCATCATACACACCACACACACGCCACACACACACCACACACACCACACACACCACACCTCACCATACACACCACACACACGCCACACACCACACACACCACACACGCCACACCTCACCATACACACCACACACGCCACACACACACCACACACACCACCCCTCACCATACACACCACACACGCCACACACACACCACACACACCACACCTCACCATACACACCACACACATGCCACACACACCACACACACCACACACGCCACACCTCATCATACACACCACACACGCCACACACACAACACACACACCACACACACCACACCTCATCATACACACCACACACACGCCACACACACACCACACACACCACACACACCACACCTCACCATACACGCCACACACACACCACACACACCACACACGCCACACCTCACCATACACACCACACACGCCACACACACACCACACACACCACCCCTCACCATACACACCACACACGCCACACACACACCACACACACCACACACACCACACACACCACACCTCACCATACACACCACACACATGCCACACACACCACACATACCACACACATGCCACACACACCACACATACCACACCTCACCATACACACCACACACATGCCACACACACCACACACACCACACATACCACACCTCACCATACACACCACACACATGCCACACACACCACACACACCACACACGCCACACCTCATCATACACACCACACACGCCACACACTCAACACACACACCACACCTCACCATACACACCACACACACGCCACACACACACCACACACACCACACATACCACACCTCACCATACACACCACACACATGCCACACACACACCACACACACCACACATACCACACCTCACCATACACACCACACATGCCACACACACCACACACACCACACACGCCACACCTCATCATACACACCACACACGCCACATGCACACCACACACACCACACATACCACACCTCACCATACACACCACACACACCACACCTCACCATACACACCACACACACACCTCACCATACACACCACACACACACCTCACCATACACACCACACACACACCTCACCATACACACCACACACACCACACCTCACCATACACACCACACACATGCCACACACACCACACATATCACACCTCACCATACACACCACACACACGCCACACACACCATACACACCACACATACCACACCTCACCATACACACCACACACATGCCACACACACCACACACACCACACACGCCACACCTCATCATACACACCACACACGCCACACACACAACACACACACCACACCTCACCATACACACCACACACACGCCACACACACACCACACACACCACACATACCACACCTCACCATACACACCACACACATGCCACACACACACCACACACACCACACATACCACACCTCACCATACACACCACACACATGCCACACACACCACACACACCACACACGCCACACCTCATCATACACACCACACACGCCACATGCACACCACACACACCACACATACCACACCTCACCATACACACCACACACACCACACCTCACCATACACACCACACACACACCTCACCATACACACCACACACACCACACCTCACCATACACACCACACACACACCTCACCATACACACCACACACACCACACCTCACCATACACACCACACACATGCCATACATACACCACACACACCACACCTCATCATACACACCACACACACCACACACCACATGCAGCACACAAACACCACACACACCACATGCAGCACACATCGCACCACACATACCACACATGCCACACACACGCACCACACACACATACACCACACAAACACCACATATGCCACACACACCACATGCACACCACACACACCACGCCACACACATCACAATACACCAAACACTAAACACACCACACATGCCACACACACACACCACACACACTACACACCACACACAATACATACCACAGACACACCACACACCACATACCACACACACCAGCACATCACACATACACCACACACACTGACACCACACACAGCACACCACACCACAGGCACGTCATACACACACACCACACACATCACACACCACACATAGCACACCACAGCACACACACCACACCACATACACTACACACATGCCACACACACCACACATACACCACACACAGCACACCACACACCACACACCACACACCACACACCACACACCACACAGCACATGGGGAAAATAGCAGCAAAAATTTACTACAAAATATTGACAGGGGTAGTCCAATTGATTTTCTTTTTTTACTTTTCTATACCTCTAAGTCCCTTTGTCTTTTCTTTTCTCTTTTTTTTTAAAGACAGAGT
Source organism: Homo sapiens (assembly GCF_000001405.40). Taxonomy (NCBI): domain Eukaryota; kingdom Metazoa; phylum Chordata; class Mammalia; order Primates; family Hominidae; genus Homo; species Homo sapiens. The sequence continues at coordinate 6,239 of NW_021159999.1, read as the reverse complement.
CTCACTGTCACTCTGCCACCCAGGCTGGAGTGCAGTGGCACAATCACAGCTCACTGCAGCCTCGACCTCCCAGGCTCAAGTCATCCCTCCTGCCTCAGCCTCCAGAGTACCCGGGGCCACAGGCGTGCACCACCACACCCGGCTCCTTTTTTTTTCTCTCTCAGTAGAGATGGGGTTTCATCCTGTTGCCCAGGGTGGTCTCAAATTCCTGGGCTCAAGGGATTTGCCCACCCCAGCCTCCGAAAGTGCTGAGATTACAGGCATGAGCCACCACGCCTGGCCTATTCTTCTATACTTTGAATAACGAATCTGTTTCACTTTCCTGATGACAATAAAACACTAAACATTACTGCTTTTCAACAACTCCTTGCAGAGCTGGGAAGGGGGCTGTGGTCTGGTGCCTGGGAGTCCTGTCTGCAAACCCCACGGCAGTTTCCTGAATGAGTGACTCCACCCCTGGCCGCAGCTCTCACCTAGAACCATGGTGGCGACACCTGACCCCACCCACTGCCTCAGAGGGCAAAATTGGAGCGTGGCTGTGACCGGGCCATCCCAGGCCGGTGCCCTGTCACCGTCTCAGTTCCAGGCAGTGGCCTTTGAAATCAAGGCCACCCTGTGTCACCTGATGATCTGCTATTCAACCTTCAGGTCCTGGCACAGGGATCCCACATCCTGCACACCTCTCCAGCTGGGCCCAGCTGCAGCAGGACCCGTGGGCAGGTGGCAGCTGGTGCGTATGCCATGCCCACCTCACAGGTGAAGACAGGCCACCTCCAGGAGGCCCCTGAAAGCAACAGGATGTCCACCCTCAGCGCTGCCTGGGCGTGTGTGCCCAGTGACCCCCAAACTCTGTGGGTCCTGCAGGCGGCACAGTGGGGAGTGCACACTGCTAAGTCCCTGCCACTCCGGGGGACCTGCCACTCTGGGGGACCTGCCCTCCTACACGGTCCAGGGGCAGAGGGAGGCCACCTCACCCCCTCTCCCTGCTCTCTCTGATGGGGGACTCTGTCTCCATCTCTCCTTGGTTCCTCTCCTTCTCCCGTCCTCCCAATCCCAGTCCCCACGCTCCCGTGGGCTGCTGCCCTGAGCCAGGCCCTGCTGCAGCCCTGCAATTCCACCATGGAATAGCAAGCCGTCGAGGAGGCTGCATGCCAGGAGGAGACCGGGGCAGAGAGACAGCTGTGCACATGGGAACCCGTCCCCACTGTGAAGAACAGGGGGCCAATGGGACACAGGGATGCTGAGGCGGCCAGGGAAGGCCTTGCAGGTGTGGAGAGAGAAGTGAGGGCGGGAGTGGGTGTGTGATGCCCTTAGCATGGCCCAGGCTGAAGAGGGCAGGGGCCATCACGGACTGGAGCCAGCTCGGCCATCCAGGGAGGAGCCAGGAGGCAGTGGAGGCCCAAGGGATGGCGGGCAGCCCCACAGGGCCTCAGAAGCCAGGCAGGATCCGGGGTTTGGTGAGCCCTGGCTGGCTGGGGCAGAGGAGCTCCAGGCTCTGACCTGGGCTGGCTGCCTGGTGGATAGGAGACCAGGAAGAGACCCTGGCATGTGGGTGCATGCTGGGGAAGAAGATGGATCCTGGGCCTGCAGGGAGGAGGCAGCAGGGATTCCTCATGGATGCGGGCAGATGTGAGCGAAAGGAAGCCAGCAAGGATCCGGGATTCGGGGCCTGAGCACCTTGGACGGAGCAGGGGAGCTGGCCTGGGCAGTGGGCAAGGGGCCCTCGGACTTGGGCACTGGACACATTGAATTGCAGACACCCTGGTGGAAAAAACAGGGCAGCCCAGCGGGGACGGAGAAGGGATGGTGGAGGGGGGTGCCCAGAGACCTCCAGAGGGAAGGAAAGGTAAAAGGAGGAGGCCACGCTCAGGAGGAGACGCACCCTCATGCGGAGGTCACAGGATCCCCAGGGGAGGGGGAGCCGGGCTGGAGTGGAGGAGATCTGTGGGTGAATGGGGAGGGAGTGGGGGCTGCGAGGGCATCGTGCCCCGCTGAGGTTTCTCTGTGAGATGAGCCAGGGAATGGCAGGACGGCCAGAGGGGCGCGGGGTGGAATGGGAGCTCACCGCACAGGGATGCAGTGAAAGGAGGCAGCTCCCAAGAGGGACAGCCACAGAGAGGACACCGCGGGGGTGAGGCTCATCCGGCCCTGGGGGTTTTGGGTTGTGAGGTGAGAGGGTGTGAGAGGTGCTGGAAGTTGGGGTGTCGATGGGTGTGGGGTTAAGGTGGGATTGCAGACATCAGAGGCCTGGAGTGTGAGGGTCAGGGGACTTGCTTGGTACTGGGGGGAGTGAGGGGCCAAAGGCGACAATGATCGAGTGCACGAGGGAGCCATCGGCTGAGGGAGAGGACAAGGCCAGCATAGGAAGGACCACCCGCAAGTACCACGGAGGAAGACAGGCTTGGCGGGGCCGCTTCCTTGAGGCTGAGATGGGGAGCTGTCTGCACAAGGAGGCGTCTCTGGGCTCCCAAAGAGCCCCCTCCACCAGCTTCGTCCTGTTCCTAGGCTCATCCTCCAAGGACTGGTTCATTCCCACCCCAGGGCCTTTGCACGTGCTGGCCCCAGCATCTGGAATTCCCCTTCTCCAGATCTCCGTGTCACCAGCTCCTTCTTGTCCTTCAGATCAAAGCTGAGCCTCACCTCTTTGAAAAAGACTTCCCAGAACTCCTGGCTGACACCTGCTAGGCTGCTTCCTGAGCTCTGCAGTTTCCTAACCTGTTCACATGCTCGCCCCCAGACTCCTCCTTCTAGAAGCCATGCCCATCCATGCCACCTCTTCCCAGTGTGGGACATCCGGACAGCCCCTCCTGAGGGCTTCCTGGCCTCCCTAGAAACCTGAAATGCGCTCTCAGCTCAGACAAAACCGTCCGCGGCACGCACCTGGTCCCTCCAGGAGCCCACACCCGCGGATCACCTCATCTGGTCTTCTCCAGCGCCCACGGTGTGTGCTGGTGTCATTCAAACTGTGCACACAGGGCCTTGTCTGCTCCTAGCCTGGCCCCTCCAGAGAGGTGGGCTCACCCGAGTTTGCAGGGGAGGAAACAGGAAGCAGGGGAGAGAGCTCAACACTCAGCAGCACTGGCCCCGGGTGCTCAGTCCACACCGCAGCCTGAATGATGGGTCCCTTGGGCTCACACTGGACAAGAGCCTGGAAAGACAGAGGAACACGGGGACTAGAATCCCAAGGTTGCAGGGCCAAGCACAGAGGATGCTAGCTCCCAGCTGAGCAGAGGCAACAGCAGGGGTTACTCCAGGCTAAATAAATAGGAGACCCGGGCAGGAAGAAATGAGAGCACGCGGGTATCCGTCAGCCAGCGAGGGCGCCCTGCAGGGAGCCGGGCAGCCACACGGACTGGCAGTGGCAGAGGGCTGCGGGCCTGTTTGCTAACGAGAAGGGCCGACGGCAGGATCTTCCGGGCCAAGGCACTGTGTGTGTGGACAGCTGTGACCTGGCCGCCAGCCCCCTCCATTCCCGTCTTCACCACGGACCCCATGCAGAGAGGAGGGCCTGGCTGGGAGACACTGGGGGTGCATGTGCCTCTCTAAGGAGACGTTGCTTCATCTGAAATGAGGCCAGTGGCACCAAACTGAAAGGGGCATTGGGAGGGTCAGTGTCCAGGCAGTTGCCCCACCTGGCAGGGCCCTCGGCTGTGGCTGGCTGGGCCATTTCAGCCTCCCCAGAGGCCAGGCACACCGCCGGCCCATGGAGATGCCCTGGCACAGAAGTGTGCTTTGCCCCTACCCACCGGTGGGCAGAGCACACTCACACGGCAACCCCCATGCCTGGTGGGCATCCATGCCATGCCCGGGCACGCCTCCTCTCTCACCTTCACTCCTGTCGCCCCCACTTGGAGCCCTCTCCTTCTCCCCTGACATCCCTCAGCTGTGAATTTGAAGCCCCTTGGTGCCACCTTTGCCATGAGGCCCCCTGCTTGTGCCCTCTGGATGGCACGGTAGGCCTGGCCAGCGCAGGAGTGGGGCCTCAGCAGTGGGTGCCGCCTCAGGGCCCTGCAAAAGGTGGGGCGACCACATCCAGCTCAGGCACCCGGTGGGGACAGCACAGCCAGCCCAGCAGGCTGGAGAAGACGGGGCAGCGGCAGAGACCCTGAAGCAGGAAGAACTGGGGGTGCTCGAGGGGTGGAAAGGACGGGTGAGGGCCCGAGGGGTGCAGCTGGGGTTGGCGTGGATGGCAGGTGCCGTGTCACCTGTGCGTTTCATCGGGGCTGACAGAAGGTGCATTGGAAGCACTAAAAAGCCCAGTTTCTTGGGTCCACGAGGCCCTGGAATCACGTGCTCCACATGTCACAGTGCAGACCTCCATCCGGGGCTAAAGATCCCAGCCCCTGTCCATCCCCAGCAAGAATCTCCCCATTCCCCACACACGGGAGGGACAGGCTGCCCAGCAGGGGCTAAAACCCCGGTCCTGGGTCCTGGGAGGGGCGGCTTCACCTCGGGTGGCAAAGGAGGAGGGTCTGGGCTGGCACAGGAGAGGGGTTGACAAAAGTCACGGTGCCATTACTACACCTCACTGCCCAGCCCGACAGGCTTCACTGCATCCCCATTCTACAGATGTGGAAACTGAAGCGTGGAGAGCGTCGTGGGCTGACCGTGGCCCCCGGAGCCTGTGGCTGGAACCTTCTTTAGAAAGGGGGTCTTCCCACATGTGGCTAAGTTACTGGGGAGAAGACTGTCAGGATTGTCCAGGTGACCCTTAATCCAATGACAACTGTCCTTAGGAGACATACAGAAGGGAGACACAGGGGGAGGAGGAGAGACACGGGGAGGAGGAGAGACACGGGGGAGAGGAGGGACACGGGGGGAAGAGGAGAGACACGGGGAGGAGGAGGGACACGGGGGGAAGAGGAGAGACACGGGGAGGAGGAGGGACACGGGGGGAAGAGGAGGGACACGGGGAGGAGGAAAGACATGGGGGGAGAGGAGAGACACGGGGGGAAGAGGAGAGACACAGCGGGAGAGGAGGGACACGGAGAGGAGGAGAGACATGATGGGGGAAAGGAGAGACACGGGGGAGGAGGAGGGACACGGGGGGAAGAGGAGAGACACGGGGGGAAGAGGAGAGACACGGGGGAGGAGGAGAGACACGGGGGGAAGAGGAGAGACACGGGGGAGAGGAGGGACACAGGGAGGAGGAGAGACACGGGGGGAAGAGGAGAGACAGGGGGAGAGGAGGGACATGGGGGGAGGGACACGGGGGGAGAGACATGGGAGGAGAGACACAGGGGGAGGAGGAGAGACGGGGAGAGACATGGGGGAGGAGAGACATGGGGGGAGGAGGAGAGACGGGGAGAGACATGGGGGAGGAGAGACATGGGGGGAGGAGGAGAGACGGGGGGAGAGACATGGGGGAGGAGGAAAGACACGGTGGGGAGAGGAGAGACATGGAGGGGAAGGAGAGACATGGGGGAGGAGGAGAGACATGGGAGGAGAGACACGGGGGGAGGAGGAGAGACACAGGAGGGAGAGGAGACACCGGGCAGAGGAGAGACATAGGCAGTAGTGGAGCGACATGGGGGAAGTGGAGGCTTGTGTGAAGATAGAGGTAGAGATGGGAACCATGTGGCCACAAGCTAGGGAACCCCTGGAGCCTCTAGAAGCTGGAAGCAGCAGGCAGAACCCTCCCCTGGAGCCTCTGAGGGGGCCAAGCCCTGAGACACCCCGATTCTTCAGCCCCCAGCACTAGGAGAGAATCATTCTCTGTTGTCGGAAGCCTCCCAGCATGTGCTCATTCGTCACAGCAGCCGCTGGACACCCACAGAGAGAGCTGTCCTTGCTTCCCAGGGACCAAGCGGGACCCAGCCTTAGTTAGCGGGACCTCCGTGTCTGTGTCCCCGACACCGCTGTGTGCCGACCACACTGGATTCAGAGCTCCATGGGGCAGCGCCAGGGCCCTTCCTGCCTTTATTTAGGGTTCGCACTGCACCCCCAGCGTCTAGCCCGAGGCCAGCTGACAGGAGGTGCTTGGTCACCCTGCACTTCTGGAGCATATGCAGGGGTCCCCTCTGCGGCCAGCAACCGCGTGCGGCGCCTGCAGGGAGCGGCGGCCATGAGCAGCCCCAGCTCAGCAGGACCAGAAATAGCAGAGGCTGCCAGGGCCACGGGGCAAGGCCAGGGTCCCTGGGTCAGGGTCCAGGCGCTCTGGGCAGTGTCCTCACTGTTCCCCGGGACGTTGGGGCCAGGGCCTGTGGCCTGAAAGATGACACCCAACCCGACCCTCCCAT